>NC_000005.10:19701760-20004790 GCF_000001405.40 Homo sapiens
GGTGGCCATCAAGCAGACCAGACAGAGACAAAACTCTTTATCTGAGGAATTTAGAAATAATGAGACTTCCCTATTATCTAAAACCAGCATCTGGTACCAGGCTTCTTTCCCAGAAAAGTATAAGTAACTAAAATTTCTATACATCTACGGAATGCATGCATGTTGAAACGTATTGTGCAAGTCTTGCTCACATCAAGGCACCAAAATGTCTACAAATATAATCATTTATCATGACCTAAGTGGCTAATATGGTCCAAATTACCCTTAAGCTCCTGCTTTAAGGATTACAAATACCCCTAAGGAAAAATCCACCACGGTGCACTCAGTCCTGTGTTGCCGAAGCTCCCCGCTACACTCTTCTGCAGTGTTCTTTCTTTCTTTCTCTCTCTTTTTTTTTTTTTTTTTTGAGATGGAGTCTCCCTCTGTCCCCCAGGCTGGAGTGCAATGGTACAATCTCAGCTCACTGCAACCCCCGCCTCCAGGGTTCAAGCGATTCTCCTGCCTCAGCCTCCTGAGTAGCTGGGACTACAGGTGCGTGCCACCACACCTGGCTAATTTTATGTATTTTAGTAGAGAGGTGGTTTCACCATGTTGCCCAGGCTGGTCTTGAACTCCTGAGCTCAGGCAATCAGCCCACCTTGGCCTCCCAAAGTGCTAGGATTACAGGTATGAGGCACCACGCCCTGCTGCAGCATTCTTTCTAACTAACAAAACGTCCCTTTCAGCCGGGCGTGGTGGCTCACACCTGTAATCCCAGCACTTTGGGAGTCCAAGACAGGTTGATCAGCTGAGGTCAGGAGTTCAAGACCAGCCTGGCCAACATAGTAAAACCCCGTCTCTACTAAAAATACAAAAATTAGCTGGGTCTGTAGTGGCGTGCACCTGTAATCCCAGGCACTCAGGAGGCTGACTCACGAGAATCACTTGAACCCGGGAGGTGGAGTTTCAGTGTGTTGGGAACAGGCTCCCAAATCTGGCCATAAGCAGGCCCCAAAACTGGCCATAAACAAAATCTCTGCAGCACTGTGACATGCTCATGATTGCTATGGCACCCACACTGAAGGTTGTTGGTTTACCGGAATGAGAGCAAGGAACACCTGGCCCACCCAGGGCAGAAAACCACTTAAGGCATTCCTGAACCACAAACAATAGCATGAGCGATCTGTGCCTTAAGGACATGTTCCTGCTGCAGATAACTAGCCAGAGCCCATCCCTTTGTTTCCTGTTTTAGTTAATCTATAATTTATAGAAACAATGCTCATCACTGGCTTGCTGTCAATAAATATGTGCGTAAAACTCTGTTCATGGCTCTCAGCTCTGAAGGCTGTCAGCCCCGATTCCTACTCCGCACTCCATATTTCTCTGTGTGTGTGTGTCTTTAATTCCTCTAGCTCCGCTGGGGTAGGGTCTCCACGACTGAGCTGGTCTCGGCAAGTGGTGCCTATACATGGGGCTCAAACCTGGGTCGAAGGGTTGCCAGAGTGACGGTTGGAGAACATGGAACTAAGCTGGAGGACACCTGAGTACTCTTAAGCAATCCCTGTGGTGAGTAAGAAGGGGAGCTTGGAAGCATCAGGGTAACAATGTGCAAGTGTGGGCTCTGGTTCATTCCACTTTGGAACCTTTTCACAATGATGATGAGGAGGAAGGAGAGTATAACTAAGTAACAGAAGAGGTGACAGAGCAGGTTTGTTTGCCAGCTAAAGCTAAAGCGGCAAAGGAGGGAGAGGTTTGTCCCTACCCTTCTGCACCCCCTCATTATTTTGAAGAAAAAGGGTGGCCTGACCCTCCAGATCTTTCTTTTGTGGAGGACACAGGGCAAAAAGTAGTTGCCCCAGTGACTGTTCAAGCAGTGCCTCGAGTGACTGCTCTCAGTTCTATTCAGCCAGGAATTTAGCAAGCTAGAAGAGAGGGTGATATAGAGGCTTGGCAGTTCCCCATTAGGACACACACACCCCCTGCCCCCCCTGCCCCCCGCCGATCAACAGGGAAATATTATAGCTACATTTGAGCCTTTTCCTTTTAAAATACTTAAAGGATTTAAACAAGCTATTAATCAATATGGACTAGGTTCTCCTTTTGTAATGGGACTGTTAAAGAATGTTGCTGTCTCCAGTCAGATGATGCCAGCAGGGGCTATAGGATTACTTCTAGGTAGATCTAGTTTAAATGTAAAAGGAGTGCAAGTACAAACAGGAGTCATTGATTCAGATTACAATGGGGAAATTCAAATTATTATATCTACTTCTGTTCCCTGGAAAGCAGAGCCAGGAGAGGGTATAGCACAGCTCCTGATTGTGTCATATGTGGAAATCAGAAAAGTGAAATTAAACGAACAGGAGGATCTGGAGGCACAAATAAACAAGGCAAAGCAGCTTATTGGGTGAATCAAATTACTGATAAATGTCCTACCTGTGAAATAACTATTCAGGGAAAGAAATATAAAGGTTTGGTAGATACAGGAGCAGACATTTCAATCATTTCTCTTTAGCACTGGCTGTCCACATGGCCAGTTTAACCTGCTCATTTTAACATAGTTGGAGTTTGTAAAGCTCCTGAAGTATATCAAAGTAGTTATATTTTGCTCTGTGAATGGCCTGATGGACAACCTGGGACTATTCAACCAGTTATAACTTTTGTACCTATAAATTTATGGGGAAAAGATTTATTACAACAATGGGGAGCACAAGTTCTAATTCCAGAGCAATTATACAGCCCTCAAGGTCAACATATGATACGTGAAGAGGGGTATGTCCCTGGTATGGGACGAGGAAAAAAATTGCAAGATTTGAAGGAATTGCGTCAAGCAGAAAGACAAAGTTCCCGCCAAAGTTTAGGATATTATTTTTGATGGCAGCCATTGTTAAGCCTCCAGAACCTATACCTTAAAATGGTTAACAGATAAGCCAATTTGGATAGAACATTGGTCACTAAGTAAAGAGAAACTGGAGGCTTTAGAGGACTTAGTTACTGAACAATTAGAAAAAGGTCACATAGCTCCAACATTTTCCCCCTGGAATTCTCTAGTCTTTGTTATTAAGAAAAAATCAGGTAAATGGAGAATGTTGACAGATCTTAGAGCCATTAATTCAGTTATACAATCTATAGGGGCATTACAGCCAGGATTGCCTTCTCCTGTTATAAGCCCAAAAAATTGGCCTTTAATAGACATAGATTTAAAAGACTGTTTCTTTACTATTCCCTTAGCTGAGCAGGACTGTGAACGGTTTGCATTTACAATTCCTGCAGTAAACAACCTGCAGCCTGCTAAGCGTTTTCACTGGAAAGTGTTGCCACAAGTCATGTTAAACAGTCTAACAATTTGCCAGACTTATGTACGGCAAGCAGCTGAACTTACTCGTAAAAAATTTTCACAGTGTTACCTTATTACGTGGATGATATACTTTGTGCTGCCCCCACTTGAGAAATATTACTCCAACGTTATGATCACTTGCAAAATTTGATTTCTCACACTGGTTTAATTATAGCTCTGGACAAAATTCAGACTACTACTCCTTACTCCTACTTGGGGACCTTAGCAAATAACACTACAATTGTGCCACAGAAAGTAACCATATGTAGGGATCAATTGAAAACATTAAATGACTTCCAAAAATTACTAGGGGATATTAATTGGATACGACCTGCCCTAGGCATTCCTACCTATGCCATGAGTAATCCATTTGCTATCCTTAGAGGAGATCCTAGTCTCAGTTGCCCTCAACAATTAACAAAGGAGGCTGAGACAGTGTTACAGCTAATTGAGAAGCAAGTGCATAAGACTCAAATAGATAAAATAGATCCAGAGAATACTCTAGATTTGCTAATTTTTTCAACTCAGCATTCACCTACTGGTGTTATTGTTCAAGAGCAGGATCTTGTAGAGTGGCTTTTTCTTCCACATACTAATTCATGGACTTTGACTCCTTATTTGGATCAAATCACTACTGTGATAGGAAATGGGAGAACTCGGATTGTTAAATTACATGGATATGATCCTGGAAAAATTATTGTCCCTCTCATGAAGGCACAAATACAGCAAGCTTTTATAGTCTTACTTGGCAAACCCATTTAGCTGACTTTGTGGGTATTCTTGATAACCATTTTCCTAAAATGAAACTGTTTCAATTTTTGAAATTAACTAATTGGGTTCTCCCTAAAATAACTAAATTTATACCAATTGAAGGTGCTGAAAATGTCTTCACAGATGGGTCTAGTAATGGTAAAGCTTCTTATTCTGGCTCAAAATGTAAAGTTTTCCAGACGCCCTATACTTTAGCTCCAAAAGTGGAGCTCGTAGCTGTAATTGAGGTATTGACTGCTTTTGATATGCATATTAATGTGATTTCTGATTCTTCATATGTGGTTCATTCCACACAATTAACTGAAAATGCTCAGTTACGATTTCATACAGATGAGCAACTGATAACTTTGTTTACCCAATTGCAAACAGCAGTTAGGAGTAGAATGTACCCTTTTACATCACTCATATTAGGGCTCATACACCTCTTCCAGGACTTTTGACTGCAGGGAATCAAATGGCTGATCGCCTAGTTGCTACTGCAATATCTAATGCCAGACACTTTCGCAATTTAACCCATGTTAATGCCTCTGGTCTCAAACGCAGATACAGCATTACCTGGAAAAAAGCTAAAGCTATTATCCAGCATTGCCCAACTTGCCACATGGTGCATTCCTCATCTTTTACAGGAGGAGTTAATCCTTGAGGATTGGAACCTAATTCTCTTTGGCAAATGGACATCACACATGTTCCCTGATTTGGGAGACTAGCTTATGTACATGTATGTGTGGACACCTTTTCTCACTTTGTCTGGGCTACATGCCAATCAGGACAGTCTTCTGCCTGTGTTAAATGTCACCTTTTGCAGTGTTTTGCAGTGATGGGCATTCCAGCTTCTATTAAAACAGACAATGCCCCAGGCTATACTAGCCAAATTCCAGCTACATTTTTATCTATATGGAATATTAAACACATTACTGGTATCCCATATAATTCTCAAGGACAAGCCATAGTGGAAAGAATGAATCTCTCCCTGAAACCACAGTCACAAAAGCAAAAGAGGGGAAATAGGGACTACGGGACTCCACATATACAACTGAATCTAGCATTATTGACTTTAAATTTTTTGAGCCTGCCTAAAGGCCAGATGCTATCAGCAGCTAAAAAGCATCTACAGAAACCAGCTGTAAAGACAGAAGCAGAGCAACTGGTTTGGTGGAGAGATCCGATAACAAAAGGTTGGGAAATAGGTAAAATAATAACTTGGGGTAGAGACTATGCTTGTGTTTCTCCAGGACTGAATCAACAGCCAATTTGGGCACCATCGAGACATCTAAAGCCGTACTATGAGCCAGCTACCCAGGAAGAGGTTTTGGGAGGATCCCAAAGACCCATCATTGGCAGCATTGCTCAAGTTCATGCTGAGGAGGACCCCAACTGTCACGAGCAACACCCGTTGAACACAGCCACCTACCTGGGGACAGATCAAGAAGCTGTCGCAGATGGTGGAAGAAAACCTGAGGAAAGCAGGACAACCAGTCACAATGAGTAACTTAATGATAGCTATGATAGTGGTGATCACCATTGCCTAGAGTATTCCTTTAACAAGGGCTGACACAGAGAACAATTATACTTATTGGGCATATTTACCTTTTCCACCACTTCTACGGCCTGTAACTTGGCTGGACCCCCCAGTGGAGGTATACACTAATGATAGCTCTTGGATGTTCAGTCCTACAGATGATAGAGGCCCATCTCACCCACAGGAGGAAGGAACTGTTATGAATATTTCTTTAGGATTTGAACATCTGCCTATCTGTTTGGGAAAGGCCACTAGTTGCCTACACCTTCACTATCAATCTTGGCTGGCAATAATGCCTGGATGTAATCACTCTATGACACAGTTACACTTGCTTTCTGGTCTTAGTATTTACCATAATAAATCTGCTCCTATAACTGAGGCATACCACATCAAAAACCTATTTGTAAACAGGATTGGACCTGGTCAGAAAAAATAAATGTGCTTGTTTGGGAAGATTGCATTGCAGAACAGGCAGAGGTGCTGCACAATAATTCCCATGGAATCATTACTGAATAGTCCCCTAAGGGGATGTTTAGCTTGAATTGCCCTTCTCCATCTGCATGCCATGGCCACACTACGTTCAGCTGGTCTGAATAAAATAGTCAGATGGTAGAAATGGTTAAGAAGTGTGGCAAGAGTTCCTATTATCTGGAAACATGGCGGTATAGTGGCACCTCAACCTCAAATGATATGGCCCACTCTAGGAGCTAAACATAAGGATTTGTGGAAACTATTAATGGCTCTTAGTAAGATCAAAATTTGGGAAATAATGAAAAAGCATCTAGAAGGACACTCTACAAACTTGCCTTTGGATATTGCAAAATTAAAAGAACAAATATTTAAAGCATCCCAGGCACACCTGATCTTACTGTCAGGAACTGGAGTGCTTGAAGGAGCTGCAGATGGATTAGTAGCTATTAACCCATTTAAATGGATAAAAACACCTGGAGGCTCTGTGATTTCAATGATGACTGTGCTTTTAATTTGTGTTGTTTGTCTTTATATACTCTGCAGATGTGGATCGTGATTCCTGTGAGAAGTAGCTCATGGAGATAAAGCTGCCTTTGCTTTTATCATCTTGCAAAAAAAAAGGGGGGGACATGTTGGGAACAGGCCCCCAAATCTGGCCATAAACAGGCCCCAAAACTGGCCATAAACAAAATCTCTGCAGCACTGTGACATACTCCTGATGGCTATGATGCCCATGCTGAAGATTGTTGGTTTACCAGAATCAGGACAAGGAACACCTGGCCCACTCAGGGCAGAAAACCGCTTAAGGCGTTCCTGAACCACAAACAATAGCATGAGCGATCTGTGCCTTAAGAACATGTTCCTGCTGCAGATAACTAGCCAGAGCCCATCCCTTTGTTTCCCATTTTAGTTAATCTATAATCTATAGAAACAGTGCTTATCACTGGCTTGCTGTCAGTAAATATGTGGGTAAAACTCTGTTCGCAGCTCTCAGCTCTGAAGGCTGTCAGCCCCCTGATTCCCACTCCCCACTGTATATTTCAGTGTGTGTGTGTCTTTAATTCCTCTAGCACCACTGGGTTAGGGACTCCATGACCGAGCTGGTCTCAGCATCAGCGAGACAAGATGGTGCCACTGCACTCCAGCCCGGGCAACAGAACTAGACTCTGTTAAATAAATAAATAAATAAATAAATAAATAACTTTCCTTTCAAACCTGTACTGTTGGTAAATTCCTCTTATTACCCATGAACCAATCACTTGCCATGGCAGTGGCTCTGATACCTCACCTGGCACTTACCCCTCAACTGGCACTTACCACTCACCTGGCACTTACCACTCACCTGGCACTTACTTCGGAAATATGTGGAGGAAAGGGTTTGGGGAACTTTCTTCTGATACTGCATAGGATGGGAGCTTGAGACATTTATTTGTATTTTAAAGAAAAGGCTTGGCCCAGCACGGTGGCTCATGCTTATAATCCCAGCACATTGGGAGGCCAATGTGTGTGGATCACCTGAGGTCAAGAGTTCGAGGCCAACCTGATCAACATGGTGAAACCCATCTCTACTAAAAATACAAAAATTAGCTGTGTTCAGTGGCAGACGCCTGTAATCCCAGCTACTCAGGAGGCTGAGGCTGGAGAATCACTTGAAACTGGGAGGCAGAGGCTGCAGTGAGCCGAGATTTTGCCATTGTATTCCAGCCTGGGCAACAAGAGTGAAACTCTTTCAAAAAACAACAACAAAAAAAGAAAGTAAAGAAGGAAGGAAGGAAGACAGAATGACAGAAAGAGAGAAAGAGAGAGAGAAAAAGGAGAGAAAGAGAGAAAGAAAGAAAAAGAAAAGAAAGAAAAGAAAAGGAAAAAAAAGAAAAGAAAAGAAAAGAAAAAAAGAAAAGAAAGAAAAGGCATATCCCAAAATGTTGGGAGAGTTAGGCACATAAGACCAAAGCAAAAAGAAAATGAAATTGAGATTTTAACAATAATAGAAAAAACATAAACCTTAAAACCATAAGTTTGGCTGGGCTCAGTGGCTCATGCCTGTAATTCCAGCACTTTGGGAGGCCGAGGTGGGTGGATCACCTGAGGTCAGGAGTTCAAGACCAGCCTGGCCAACATTGTGAAACCCTGTCTCTACTAAAAAATACAAAATTTGCCAGGCATGGTGGCAGGCACCTGTAATCCCAGCTACACAGGAGGCTGAGGCAGGAGAATTGTTTGAACCCAAGAGGCAGAAGTTGAAGTGAGTCAAGGTCATGCCACAGCACTCCAGCCTGGGTGACAGAGTAAGACTCCGTCTCAAAAAACAAAAATAAAACACTCATAAGTTAATGATTCTTCTCTTATTCAGACATTCAGCCTTTCTAAATTCAATATATGGAAGATGGGAATATTTTTGAGAAATAAAATAAGACAATTAAAAAACCATGAGCATTAATATTAGAAATGGTATTATTTTGAATAACTGCCTTCCCAAAGTCAGATTTTATTTCTATATAAACAAATATTGTCTTCTATGTGTCACACAATGCACTAACCATTATGGAAGATACAAAAATGAGTAATGCAAGGTCTCAGTGAGCTTGCATTCCAGAGATTTATTTTTTAGTTATGTACATGTAAAACATGTTGTTTTCGTTTCTCAGAAATAATTTACTTTGTAAACTTGTAAACTGAGAATTATTTTATTTATCATGTTTCCAAAAATATTTAGTTTTCTAAGAGCTCTGAAATACTACTGTTTTGGCAATCATTTGGAAAAATCCTAAACTAGAATATTACAAAATTGATAGAAGTAGCAAAATAAAAACTGTTTACAGAAGATCAGAGACGTGACAAATGTTATGTAAAATACAAATATTACTAATATTTATTTAAAAATAATAATCCACAAGTCATTTCTTCTACAAAACTTTTAAAAACTTAGTTTTGTAGTTAAAGTTAGATAATGTAGGCCTTCAATAAAGATAATGAGACATAATTTGAAGTCCAATAATATGATGCCTTCAGTTTGGTTCTTCATACAAGGCTATCATAACCAAACAGCATAGTACTAACATAAAAATAGACACATAGATCAAAGAAATATAATACAGAACTCAGAAATGAAGCCACATACCTAAGGCCAACTGATCTTTTAAAAAACCAACAAAAACAAACACTGAGGAAAGAACACCCTATTCAACAAATTGTTCTGGGAAAATTGGATTGTCATATGCAGAAGAATGAAACTGGACACCTATTTCTCATTATATATAAAAATTATCTAAAGGTGGATTAAGAGTTAATATCTGAATCTATAAAAATACTAGAAGAAAACCTGGGACAAACTCATCTAGACATTGGCTCAGGCAAATAATTCCTGATTAAAACCTCAAAAGGAAATGCAACAAAAACAAAAATAGACAAGTAAGACTATATTAAAATAAAAGCTTCTGCACAGCAAATGCAACAAATCAACCAAGTGAACAACTTTCAGAATGGGAGAAAATACTTGCAAACTATGCATCTGACAAGAGACTAATATCCAGAATCTACAACGAATGCATACAACTCATAAACTACAACAACAACAACAACAACAACAACAAACAAATAACCCTATTTCAAAGTGGGCAAAAGACATAACAGACATTTCTCAAAAGGAGGCATACGAAGGGCTGCCAAGCATGTAAAAGACATTTCTCAAAAGGAGACACAAATGGCTATCAAGCATTTGAAAAAAATGCTCAACATCACTATTCATCAGAGAAAGGTAAATTAAAACCACAATGGAATAACAGCTTACACAAGTCAGAATGACTGTTAGTATAAAGTAAAAAAAAAAAAAAAAAAGCAAATGTTGGAAACACCGCAGAGAAAAGGGAATGTTTATACACTGTTGATAGGAATGTAAATTAGCACAACCTCTGAGAAACAGCATGGAGAATTCTCAAAAAAACTCAAAATAGAACTACCATTTGATTCAGCAAACCCACTACTACTACTACCCAAAGAAAATGAAATCATTGTATCAAAAGCATATCTATACCCATATGTTTATTTAGAACTATTCACAATAGCAAATATACAGTAAGTATCCACCAATGGATGACTGGATAAACAAAATGTGCTACATATACACTGTGGAATATTACTCAGCAATTAAAAAGAATGAAATCATGTCTTTTGCAGGAACATAGACGGAACTGGAAGCCATTATCTTAAGTAAAATAATGCAAAGATAAAGTCAAATCCTACATATTTTCTCTTATAAGTGAAAGCTAAATAATGTGTACACATGGACATAGAGTGGGGAATAATAAGTATTGGAGACTCTGAAGGGTGGGCAGGAATGAGGAACGGGAAATTACTTATTGGGTACAAAGTACATTTTCTGGGTGTTTATTATACCAAAAGCCCAAATTTCACCACTATATATCCATGTAACAAAACTCTACTTGTATCCCTCAAATTTATAGAAATAAAAGAAAATACAGATAATTAAAAACTTGCTACTGTGTGTAAAGCACTCAGGGAGGCCTGGTGTGGAAAGCAACAGTAACATCTATGGTATTGAAGCCCTTATAGAGCTCTCAGAGTAGAGAAGAAATGCCATATGAACAAAAGGGCTACTGCTATGTTTTAGGAGGAATGTAAAAATGTTACTCAAAGATCAGAGATTAGTTCTAAGAGTCCAGGGAATCAACCACTGAAGTGTAAATTTGTGTGGGAAGGGCATGCCAGGAAGATCAATAGACTAAGTGAAAAAATAACATAGAAGCAGTGCTTGGTTGAAATATAGAAGTAAGTATGAGCTTAAAATTTATATATATATATATATACACACACACACACATATTTATATATATGTATGTATTCTACATATATGTATATATAATAGGAAAATTATATATGTGTATTTTCTATATATATGTGTATATATAGTGGTAAAAATTGTGGAACATTAATAATATTCTAGTGCTTTCTAGATTTCATTGTACATATCTAAGATACTGGGTTAGGGAAGAATCTAGGGAATCAATGGGATTGCAGTACATTTAATCCTGTGGCAGTAGGATAAATGACCTCAGAATAAATTTAAAGTAATGAAAGAAAAATCAAATTGCTTGGTAATTATATAACATGAATTATGTTTAATCAGGTTTAAAGACTAAAGAACACAATCGCAATGTTTCCTGTTATCTATTGATTTAATATTTGACAATAAATTAACTAGTATTAATAGCTAATATATTTGCCACGCTATTGGCTAAACAATAATTCCCAGTATTTTTTTTTTCTCAATAGTTACTATTGAGATGCAGGAGGCATAGAGCGAGGTCACAAAAAAAAGAAGATTAAGTAAATTTATCTTTTATTAGGAAGAAATAGTATAAGATATGCTACAATTGACCAACATTGATTCTTATCTTTTTGATATGTAAAGGTATAACTACCATTTTATAGCGAATTAGATGATTTTTTTACTCTCCTGGTAGCAGCTGGTCAATTTTTTGACAAACAGTTGATATTTTTGAAGAAGTACATTCAATTGGTTTCCTTACTCTGTTTGCTTAACAGCTTTTTGTAAGTTTAATTTACATACCATAAAATTTACTTAAGTGTACAATTCAACCTAATTCCATCTTAATTGTTTCATCTAGGGCTACAACGAATAGTTTGACTAGAATAGAACACTGATCTATAATTGCATTTTGTTAGAACTATATGCAGAGGAATTAAATTTGATAGATATTATTCTGTTGATGTCAAAAGGACACTATGATCTTGCCACGGAGTAGGAGAGTTATCTGATATCTATAGTGTCTGTAAAGTACTTTGGTACTTTGTTTTGGAAATACAATTATCTAATAAATATGCATTCTCAGTGGAGTATCAGAGAAAAATGCATTTAGTTTCATTTTGATTCCCCCAAATAGCAAACCTAATATACCTTTTGATATTTCATTTAAATCAGTGTGAAAAATGTCCTTTTGCAGTTTGATATTGCACTGAAACTGTAAAGTGGTTACTCATGGAGAGAGAGCAGTGTGCTCTCTCTGGTTCATAGATTTCAGGTTGAAAGTAATGAAAGTATTCTCAGGAAGCCAGCTCAACACCTGCCTGGGCAGTGCACTGTACTATGAAGGTGATTCATATGTCTGCAAAGTGCATTTCACAAAGGTCCCAGGTATCAGTTAGTGCAGGGCATGCATCTGAATATAAAAATAACATAATCGGAGTGACTTCATTGAGGTCCTTTTCTTCAGCAATTTCCATGTAACCTTCTCTTTGTGTGCTTGTTGTCACATGATCACAAATACATGTTTAAATCCAGAAGATGATAAAGCTGATTGAGGGAGCATTGGCACCTTTATAAAGATTTCCAAATTTTCCTAAAATACCTCAGTGGCCTCACTGGCCAGAGCAGTGTTGATAGATACAGGGAAGTTGGAAAAATCTAGATTTTTAACTGCATATGTTGCTACCCTGAGTAAAATCAGAGTTATGATATGACAGGCAAAATGAGAAATTGATATTAAATAGACAACCACTAATGTCTACTAGAATTTAATAACTCTCTATTTCTTAAATGCTATCTACAGCTGATTTTTTTTCTTGTGTTGTTGTCCTCACACAATCTGCTGCAGTTCAGGAACTACTTGGAATTCTTCCCTAAAGTAGACAAAGTGAGATTTTTTTTTTTTTTTCAGTAAATGGAACCTATTAATTTTTTTTCCAAGAGGAACAAATTACTTAGCTTTGATGATGACTACCTAACCATTTTTGTCTGTTTGTCTGTTGTCTGAGAATATAAAATAATTATTTTTAAATGTTTCTACAGTAAGTTCTCAATGTCCTTAATAGGTTCTTTAAAATGGTGATTGCAAGAGAAGGGACATACAGCAGGTCCTCAAATTATGTCATTTCCATTACTTCATTTCCTTATAACATTGACGGAAACAATATATATTGTCATTATACTTTATTTTGCTTAAAAATTACAGTTTCCAAGAATCTATGAATGATAAGTGAGGACATACTGCAAAATTGTTTGTGCAAGCAATTATTATTGTTATTATTATTATCAATAGGAATGGGTTATAAAAAGATAAATTGACAAAGCATATTCTATTGTGAAATCTTCTTTATCTTCTGCAGATATTGTAAACCACAATTTAAATATTTTATTGTCTTAGCTTTTAATAGATATAAAATATTGACTTTGGAAAGTGAAAACTATTGTCAAATAGATTTTCATATGAAATGATACAAAATGAAATTTAAAATCTATAGGACTTCCAAAGATGCTTTATATAGTTTCTTTAAGCATATAGAGAAATCATTCCTAGACTTAATATTTTTCCTCACTGAGCAAAAATGAAATGAAATAAATTTGGGGAGGTAATAGAGAACCAAAAAATGTTGATGAATTTAACTACTTTATGCAGACTGAAGAAATAATGTTGAAAAACCTTGTTTTCAATTATATCCTACGAAATTCATTGAGGTCTTTAACTGAGTTCATTTTTATAGCTGATTGAATTCTGTTACAATATGTTGAGAAAAGGTCATCTTGAAGAATCACAGTTATTGTCCGTCAAGAGCTCTGCATTAGTGGCTGTTGTTTCAGACAGAGCATGGCAGTTTACCTCATCTAGAGACACTATTCTGAGTCAAGACTGTCAATTCCGAAGATAAAAGGTTGGTTATTTTATTGTCTAACTTTTATCTCCTTACAGATTATCATTCACAATTTTCCAATGGTATATTTCTCTTATTTATCATGTTTGTAAAAGATTTCTAGAAAATGTTTGGAAAGAATTTAATCGCATATAAGTTCATAATGTATCTTATCTTTTTAAAATAAATTTATATAACTTTTTGACTAAAAAGTTCTTTCAAACAAAATAATCATTTTTTACTACTTCAGATAAGACTATTTCAAATTCTCATAATCATTCAAAATGTAGTAATTTTGGAAATTCTTGTCGATCTCTTTTTTTTTTTTTTTTTGAGATGGAGTTTCTCACTCTGCCACTTAGGCTGGAGTGCAGTTACACGATCTTGGCTCACTGCAACCTCTGCCTCCTGGGTTCAAGCGATTCTCTCTGGCTCAGCATCCTGAGTAGCTGGGATTACAGGCATGCACTACTACACCTGACTAATTTTTGTATTTTTCAGCAGAGACAGGATTTCACCATGTTGGCCAGGCTAGTCTTGAACTCCTGACCTGACGTGATCCGTCCACCTGGGTCTCCCAAAGTGCTAGGATTACAGGCTTGAGTCACCGCTCCCAGCCTCTTGTCAATCTTAAAGAAGGAGACAAGATAACTTGAGTCCTATATTTTTCCAAGGACTGGACTAAGAGCATTGCCCTCATTTTCCCATGGGATTTAGGCATTACCATTCTAAGTTTATACACATGGAAACAGAAGCAAAAAACTTAATTAATTCGATCAATTTATTAAGCAACTAAGTAGTATTCTAGAATTTGAACACAAAGCATCCTCAACTTCTTTTGCAATAAACCTTACTATTTCAGAAAAAATATTTATAATTTACGCTATATTTATATTATATTAATTAAACTATAACGTGACTCCAAATAGTATATTAATCTTTGGTAGAAAGGCCAAGTAAGCAGTTTCTTCATGATATTTATAATAACGCCATGTCAAAATAAATAATAATCTGACTGTGTCTTTGAAACTGATAGTCATTATTAGGTGTAGGGAATTTTACTTGATGCTAAGTGTTCTTAGCATCTGAGATAGTGTTCTATCTCATCTAAGTGAGATAGATGTTATTAATGCAAAAGAATCTGACTGACAAAATATTTGAAGTTCAATGTCTACTCCTTTTTAATATCATGTAACACAAAAAATTAAAATACCGAAATACATTAGGAGTGTTGATTAAAAAAATGTGGTATGCTCTTTGTATATAAATAAAGATAGCCTGTCTGATCTTACTATTTTTATGTACCTGACAATTAAATGTAGAATGTATCAATGTAAATGTTTTCAGCCGCTATATTTTATAAATAAATATTCTTACATTAAGATATGTAAAGACTGTATGAAAAATGATACATGAGTTTAAAACATAAACACGCAAATATGAAAATTAAAAAATGGCTTAGTAGTATTTACTGGGCATGTGAAAAAAACCCACTATGAGAATCATTTATACAAATGTATGATCTCCATTACTGACTGTCAATGATTTATACATTTCATGTTAATTATGGTCAAAAGAGCTGATATTGACTACTATAAACAATTGTAAGGGAGGTTTAACTACGATTTTGTAAAACAGTATACTCCTGTATTTTTCGTGACATCAGGTTTTAATTTAGGTTTTCAGGCTTCCTGAATTGGTCATCAGGAAGATTCAGTATACTTGTATGAAATAGACACAGGCATGACTTAAATTAGATGCACTAACAAAAATAATATTAAGTAGTTCATAAGTTGTTAACTATGAAACAGCAATCAGAGAATCATCAAATGGCCATGAAAGTAATGAGCATTAAGAGATTTTCATGTCCAGTTAAAAACTACACTGGTCTTCCATTCCGTAAGGAAATGGAAAGTTTCCATTCTGTTTCTAAGGCCCTGGAATGATACCTGGTAGATTTCTGGTTCTGTCTCCAACCTATGTTATGGGAACTAGTTCTTTTGTGTAGGAATTTGATCACTCAGCTTTTGTAGTCACCACCTGACAAAAATTTTATGGTTTCTGAAAAGGCATAGAAAACTTGAAATATTGATTTATTTTTAACTCAGTTTACACTATAATAACTGAAGTAAGAGTGAGATTTGAGTTGTGCTAATAAACAACCATCATCCCAGATTTCTCTTGAATTTCATTTTCTGATAACTCAAAATGACTTTCTCACTCAGTGGCCTTCCTCAAAATGCATTGCTTAGGTTTAGCTGTTTCCTTAGATAGTAAAATGTTTTCTTTAATAACTGTAAAAAATGTTTTCTTCCTATGAATCTAGCCAGAAATAGCATATGTATTTTATATTTTATCATCGTAGGCCCCTGTACCTTTTAAATGGTAGTTAATGTTAAACCATCATTTTTTAGTGCACATTTGTCCTTTGTTGGTACACACTGAACACAAATCATAAAATTACCTTAACGAAAGTCATTAAAAACAATACATTTTTTTCACAAGATGTTTCACCATACTGATAAGATTTCAGTGTAAAAAAATTCAGATATTATTAATTTAATTCTGTATCACATAGTAACTCAACAGCCACACAATTCATTTTCTGGATACAGCTACTCAGAGATGGTTTACAAAATAGGAAGCCAAGGTCTCTGGAAGAGCACAATGGTTAATAAAATGCATCTTTCATGGAAACAAGGCAATCGAAACACTGATTTTAGTCATAAGCACTCACAAGTCCACATTTTGAGGGGTCAGAAGTTATGTTTTATTATGATTGGTCTTCAATGAAAATAACTGGAAACATGCTGAGGTGCAGTCATACTAATTAGGGGAATGGAATTAAGTGATACTATTAATATACACCATTATAAGTGACTACTATTTCCATGCTTCTTATATAACATGCCATCCAACTTAACTGATTCTTTGATTTTCAGTATGTTTGTATTTTATTCCATTCACTTTTCTGCACAATTTCAACTAAATTCATTAGTTCTGAGGATGTTTAACAGCATCATAATTGGGTTTTTAAGCACAAATTGCCAAATTTGTTGTTTGTGAAGACTAATGAACATTTTATTTTATACCCTACTTAGCACTTTCTACTGATAACTGTCTAACTCTCTAAGATACTTGCATATTTAAAAGATCTTTAAAAACACTTTTGTTCCTTAATGACCTAGTAGGACAGATATCCATAGGTTCCCATGATGCATTAGCCAGTATAATACTGATATTAACACACATCAAAGTGGAGGCATGTACTTTATTCAATATATTAAAGCTCTGAAGAAAGGAACAAAGAAATGCAAGAGCAAAGAAAATTTTGTAGAGTAGCATTTGAATAGCAGCCTATTTACACTTGAGATAAACTTATTTTTGTTGTTTAATAAGGTACTCACTTAAACTATAATATATGTACATAAATGAATGCACATTGTATTTACATATTATGTTACTGATATATTTGCTTCCCCCAAATCACAAACTACAGCAGTCCAACACTATTAGAGCATTGGTCTCAGTGACCTAATTTATCCATCCAAGTGCATACACATACATGTATTTACTCACACAACATATGCAAACATTCACATTCAGACACATGAACACACAAAATTGATGTTTGTTAACCAATTGTATGCATAAAAAGTGTAAAATAACTTTTTTAAACAATTTTATACAGGCTGTTTATATCACAGCGATATTCTATTAGATAATTGTAACTATTTATAAATAAATGTTTGGCTTTGTATGGCATCGTTAATGGACTAATGTCATATATTTGTGTGCATGTGTCTTTATGCATGTATGCCTTTGTGACATGTGCATGCATGTGTGTTAGTATATTTCTAAAAAAGGCAGTTGAAACAGCATTCCTGTTACTTTCCTCTAGGGAGATGTGTATTTTAAGGTAGGAATTTATATTTATTTTATATTTGAAGCAAATATTATTATTGGGAAAATAGAACAAAATGTGAAATATCACCATTAAAGAATGGCGAGCTTTTCAACTAATTCTAAGCTCTTCTAATGAATAATAATGTGTAATCATAAATATGTACATTTTTGTGCCACCACTTAGATTACTAGATTAATAAGCATGTTTTCCTAAATATTAAGTGATACCTTGGAACCAACAGAACCTGCAGGTCTCATACTCATTTTAAGTTGCATTATGTTATTTATTTTATTATATCCCAATATCTATTTTTCACTTTAACTACATATTACAATCTATTCTACAATTATAATGCATATAAGGATATTTATATATATTCATGTGTATGTTCTTCATTTCTATATCTATATATGTTCTACGTTGTTTTCTTTTTAAGGTAAAAGAAAGAGAGAAAGAAAGAAAAGAGAGAGAGAGAAAGAAAGAAAGAGTTAAGCAAGAGAAAGAAAGAAAGAAAGAAAGAAAGAAAGAAAGAAAGAAAGAAAGAAAGAAAGAAGGAAAGAGTTAAGCAAGTATGTCTGAGATCCATTCATGCCAGTGTATTTCCATGTTGGAGCACTCCAGGAAAAGAAAGAAGGCAAGTGACCCAATCAAATCCTCTTGTAAACATGATAATGACAAAACTCTTGGTAAACAATCTAGTGGTATTAGCTAGAGAGAAAGTGCTTATCTATACCATGTTTTTAGTTGGATGTGCCTCACATAACACATTGGTAAATAAATCTATAATCTGTAGACTTATGGAACAAGGTTCCCTGAAAAATGGGTTATATGCTATATAATTATAGAAGTATAAAGAGATATTTATGATTAAAAAATAGCTCCTTTTTGTATTAGTTATGTGGCTATGCCATTTACTTGGAGATGCCAGATGTTGATCTGATTCAGAATGCATCTTGCGCTCAAGAAGGATGTATGGTGCTGCTGGAACATCCTAGATCTCTCTCTACTTCATCCATCTCATAAATATGTACATCCTTAAAATTTTAGAAAAACTTGAGATTTGTTACTGAACACTTGTCTAAATTAAAAATGAGTTTTACTTAACCAAATTTTTAGCAACAAATTGATTGTCAATGGGGACATGTGATTTTTTTATGGTTTTTGGATTCCGCTGCTGTAGCAAATCCTGTAATACATTATTAAGCAGCCTTCATTACCATTTTGGCCTGATATGACAGGATATAACTGATGTGATATAATGTCATATGATATGATTGACATGATATGATTGACATAATATGTTTTGGCCAGTAAAAAATAAAAGGAGAGCAGAATTTATATTTTTTCCTGAAAAAATATTTATGTCTTTGACATTATTTTAATTCTTTTTTGGTAACACAATATTTGAGGGCTGAATAATTTACTCATTAGAAAAAATTGCCAACCCAAGAAATAGAAATCCCCCAGTACAATACAATTTTATATATATGTGTGTATGTATACCTAACAATTTATGTGACAAGCAAAATCAATGTAGGAAAATTTCAAAGAGCTATTTACCCTCTTCAGCTAAGAATTAAAACTAATATACAAGCGGAGCAAATAATATATTTGAAAATCTCACTCAATGTTTGTAATATGCCATATTTGTTTTAAACACAGATTATTTATTTAAGTATTACAGAAATACTGAAGGATAAGTAACATTTTCTTGCACGGGTATAAATAATGGGTTATCAACATAATAGGGAAAGCATAATATATGTACATTAATTTATTTTCAATTATTTCATTACATTGTTTTAGAAAAAGTGAGGATATGTTTAAAATATGTTAAAATCACATCATCTAATGGAAAAGAGCATATGGAAATAAAAACCATTGCTTTGCAACTTACTGTAGCAAACGCTTGCATGCGAGTTATGTGTAAATGCACTAACCTGTTTTAGGGTCGACGGAGAAGTAGGGTTGTCCTTGGAGAATGCTGTAAACCACCCGAGCGCTGTTTCCATAGGTAGGGTCATCTGCATCAGTAGCTGTCACCTGTAGAACAGAGGTACCTGTGCATTCAGGAAAACAAATTTTAGTGTGTGATGGCATTTAGCATATGATTAATTTGAACACAGAAAATGGGTATGCTGAAATAGCTATGGAGATCAGTACTGGTTGTGTCCTAGTAAATTTAATTAAATTTATGTATAAAACATATTACTTGCTTTCTTTCCCTGTCATCGACTGTAATGAAAGAGAGTCTAAAATATAATATTGGTCCCAAACCTTTTAACATGGCTCTTTATGTGTTGGTAACATTGTGAATGATGGTCTCTTTTGATTTTCATTAAAAAAGCAATAAAATATAACCAAGATTTGGTTGGCTTGCACTCATATATCAAATTGCTACTAATTTTGCAGTTAAATCAGAGTTATGATAAAGCTGTGTATAGCATGTTTCATGACTGTTCTGAAAACTGGAGGTGGAATGATTTGTGATTAAGTTGGGAAGGTGGGTGAGTTGATATTAAATTATCAATGACATCACAACACTCCATTCAAGTCATTTTCTGTCTTACACATTCTTTTTATTTATTACCTGCATAATTAATGAGTCACATAACTGGTCTCCTTTTTTTGTCCATTTGTTTTTGTTTGTTTGTTTCTGAGACATGAGATGGAGTCTTGCTCTGTCATTCAGCCTGGAGTGCAGTGGTGCGATCTTGGCTCACTGCAACTTCTGCCTCCCAGATTCAAGCAATTCTCCTGCCTCAGCTTCCTGAGTAGCTAGGACTACAGGCACCCTCCACCATGCCCAGATAATTTTTGTATTTTTAGTAGAAACAGGGTTTCGCCATGTTGGCCAGGTTGGTCTTGAACTCCTGATCTCTGGTGATCCGCCCCGCTCAGCCTCCCAAAGTGCTGGAATTAAAGGTGTGAGCCACTGCGCACAGCCAACTGGTCTACTAAGTTCAAATCTCATTCCTTTAGTGTCTTATACACAGTGCCAACATCGCACTGGATTTTTTAAAATGAAAATGGATTGTAAATTCATTTATAACATTTAAAATACTATATTTTGAGGTAATAAAATTATTGAATCTAGTATGATCGTGTCTTTGTGCTTACTTTTTAAAACACGATTTGCATAATTAGATACACCTATATAATATTTCAATTGTTTCTAAATGAAAACTTAATCTAAGTATAACATGACAACCATATATTAAGGGATATACAGCTTCATTGCAGAATTAGTGGGTAAGAATGCTCATCTAAGAATTCACATCTATTCATAAAATGTACCTGATGAATCATCTAATGGTGCATACTTGATATTTTATTCCACATCACTAGAAAAATTCTACCTACTAATTTGGGTTATCTATCAAGTAAAAATGTTTTTACAATCAATTGATCTTGTATGGAATTTTGTATTCATTTTGGTATTTGAATATGGAAGCACTGACAATTAATAGTTTTTTATTTTAGTAATTATGTCAATGACTCAGGACCTAATGTCCGTTCAACTAGAAAATTTGTACTTCTAGGCCCGGGCATGGTGGCTCATGCCTGTAATCACAGCACTTTGGGAGGCTGAGGCTAGGGGATCACCTGAGGTCAGGAGTTTGAGACCAGCCTGGCAAACATGGTGAATTTTTTTTTGTTAACACACACAAAATTTTTTTTTGGTAACCCTGTCTCTACTAAAAATACAAAAATTAGCTGGGCATGGCAGCACATGCCTGTAATCCCAGCTACTTGGGAGGCTGAGGCAGGAGAATTGCTTGAACCTGGGAGGTGGAGGCTGCAGTGAGCCGAGATTGTGCCATTGCACTCCAGCCTGGGCAACAAGAGCGAAACTCTGTCTCAAAAAAAAAAAGAAAGAAAATTTGTACTTCCATGTTGAACTTCAGACACAATTTTAGGGAAAGTTTATTCTGTGTCTTCAAGGGATCCTAGAAAATAGAATATGCCAAGCTCACCTAACAATCCTTATTAGCATATCATAAATATGTATAATATATTAAGGATTCTGGCCCCTAAATAGTATTTTAACAATGAGACTCTAAGAAGAAATATGACTTGCAATTATCCATCCTCAGAGGATGAGAGCTGTGTTATGTCTAAAAGAGATTTCAAATTACAGACCAATCAAATAGTATGGTGACAGTAACTTTGCTGTTTAGAATGCTGAGAAACTGGGTCACTCATACACTGTGGATAGAAATGTGATTGTTTGGCAATTTCTTATAAAACTAAACACACATCTACCCAATAAATTGAATAGGGCATTTTATTTTTTATTTTTATTTTATTATTATTATTTTTTGAGACAGAGTTTTGCTCATGTTGCCCTGGCTGGAGTACAATGGCGCCATCTCGGCTCACTGCAACCTCCACCTCCCGAGTTCAGGCAATTCTCCTGTCTCAGCCTCCTGCATAGCTGGGATTACAGGTACCTGCCACCACACCCAGCTAATTTTTTCTATTTATAGTAGAGATGGGGTTTCACCATGTTGGCCAGGCTGTGAACTCCTGACCTCAGGTGATTTGCCCGCCTCAGCCTCCTAAGTGCTGGGATTACAGGTGTGAGCCACCGCGCCCAGCCATAGCATTTTAACAAATAAATAAAAACTGATGTTCACAGAAAAACCTGCTTACAAATATTCATAGTGGCATTGTTCATGATAGCCCCACACTGGAAACCATCCTGATGTCCTTCAATGAGAGACTTGTTAAATGAACTGGTACATTCATACTATGAAATATTACTCAACAATAAAAATGAATAGACTATGGGTACATGCAACAACTTGTATGAATCTTCAGGGAATCAACTAAATGAAAATTAAGTAAATCCCAAAAGGTTGTATGCTATGATTCCATTTATATAGCGTTTTTGAAATGAAAAAATTTAGAAATGAATAACAAGTTATTATTTTCTAGAGATTTAGGGAGACAGACTAGAGCAAGGAAGTTTGGTATAGCAGGGAAGCATAAGGGATCCTTATATATTGGAGCTGTTCAATATTTTGATTATGGTAATTGATGCATAAATAGGCACAGCTGATAAAATTCTGTAGAACTGAGCACACTCGTACACACAGACATACACACACACACACACACACACACACACAAATTTATACAAGTAAATCTAGGGAAACCTAACGACAATCAGTAGCTCGTACCATTTCAATAACCTGGTTATGATATTGCTTTATGGTTTTGCATGATGTTACCATTGTGAAAAAAAAAAGATTTGCAAAATGTTACCATTACATGCAAATCTACAATGGTCTCAAAATTACAAGTATTAGAGACAAAGATGCGTTCTTGCCTCTGTGCTACTCCATTCTTAGAGAGGTAGTTTGGGTTTGTGTGTCCTGTGAGTTTTCTCAATATACCGCTAACCTTTCTGGCTTGATTAAATCAGTTCCCACCACAAACTGTCCTGAGCTGGTCACATATAGACTATCTCTTCCACTATAAAGTATAATTATTTATTAACATAGCATATTAAGGCCTTTTTTTTTTTTTTTTGAGACGGAGTCTCCTTCTGTCACCTAGGCTGGAGTGCAGTGGCACTATCTGGGCTCACTGCAAGCTCCGCCTCCTGGGTTCATGCCATTCTCCTGCCTCAGCCTCCTGAGTAGCTGGGACTACAGGCGCCCGCCACCACGCCTGGCTAAATTTTTGTATTTTTAGTAGAGACAGGGTTTCACCATGTTAGCCAGGATAGTCTCGATCTCCTGACCTCGTGATCCACCCACCTCGGCCTCCCAAAGTGCTGGGATTACAGGCGTGAGCCACCGCACCCGGCCCATATTAGGGACTTTTTATGTGATGGCACAACACTTGATCCATAACCGATATTCAAGCCTCCAACTTATTCAGAGAATACCACTAGGTAGGCATCTACGACTAAAAGTTGGTTTTGAAGACATTTTCACTGGTACCTCACTGAAAAAACTAAAATAAAACAAAGTCTGTTGTTAGGTACCCAGATTAGACTTTAAATGTGCAGCAAGCTTAAAATATGGTTAAAAATGATATAAAATTATTTCAATTAAAGCTTTCTTTGAAGGCCAGGCACAGTGGCTCACGCCTGTAA
The DNA here is from genome assembly GCF_000001405.40 of Homo sapiens. NCBI lineage: Eukaryota > Metazoa > Chordata > Mammalia > Primates > Hominidae > Homo > Homo sapiens. Next base: position 19,725,516 of record NC_000005.10, read on the forward strand.
TCCCAGCAATTTGGGAGGCCGAGGCGGGTGGATCACCTGAGGTTGGTGATTTGAGACCAGCCTGACCAACATGGAGAAATCTCATCTCTACTAAAAATACAAAATTATCTGGACGTGGTGGTGCATGCCTGTAATCCCAGCTACTTGGGAGGCTGAGGCAGGAGAATCACTTGAACCCGGGAGGCAGAGATTGCGGTGAGCTGAGATCACACCACTGAACTCCGACTTGGGCAACAACAATGAAACTCCGTCTCAACAACAACAACAACAAAAATCTTTCTTTGATCTGATAAGAGGAGTGTTAACAGTTCTAGGCACATAGAGATTACTGGGATTCGGGAAAGGGAAAACTACAGAAAACAGTAGAATAAGGACCATTAAAAAACTAGGCTATAAACTCCTCAGGTTTTGAAATTAGCTCTGGCCCTGAAATAGCAATTTAAGCCTAAATAGTTTTTAATGTCCAAATAGCAGTCCCTGGGCAACCATTTCATGGAAAAAGCTCAGAAGCACAAACAGTGCAAGATCATTCTTCTTTTGCTGTAATAGGCTAAATTGCCACATGAAAGGAGGAGAGTTGCTCTGTTTAGCTTGGGGTGTCTATAAAAGTCCAGCCTTGTTAAGTGAGAGTTGAGATACACGAAGGCAGTGACAAGTTAAATAAGGAAAAACAAGGAAAAGAGATGAAAAAGGAAGAAGGGTAGCATGGTGATACTGAGTAAGTGATTGTTTAAAGTAACAAAGGAAACTTAGTAGAGCAGACAAAAATATATATATAGTAACTCTCTGCCCTGATCCAAAAGAATGGTCATTAACAGCTACATACATTTCTGCACAGGAAGTCTCACACAATTGTCTTTGTGTGTGAAGCAAAGAGCAACAAATCGCCTCGTGTACTATGTGTACTGTACTTCGGTAGTGCCTGAAGGCATCAGGGTACCACTTTGAGTACACAGATTGCTGGTTGAAGGGAGCACACACACACATGAATAGCAGAGCCCAACTAAATGCCAGCCCATCAGAGAACAGAACAGGAGTGGACATAAATAGCAGGGATGGAAAAGAAATCTCTTGCCCTACTGTTCAAGGATCTTTTACTAGGTAGGACTGGAAAGAAAGCTTAAGGCTGAAAGAAAAATATATTCGTATCTTAAATTCTTGTTTATTTGAAATCTAGATGGAAAAATTATAAGACTTGGTATTTTCAGTAATTCTTTATATTAGACAAAAGTGTGTGCTTTTATTAATGCTATAGGCTAAATGCTCATATGCCCCTCAAATTCATATGTTGAAATCCTAACTTCTAATGTGACAGTATTTGAGGGTAGGGTTTTTGCAAATACCGTGTGAGAGCAGATCCCTCTTTATTAAGAGATTAGTAACTTTATTAAGAAGGCCACAAAGAGCTTCCTCATTCCTTCTGCCATATGATGACACAGCAAGAAGATGGCCTTCTGTGAACCAGGAAGTGTGCCATCATCATGGAATCTTCTTGCACCTTGATTTTGGACCTCCCATCTTTCAGAACTGTGACAAATAAATGTTGTTTAAGCCACCTAGACTATGGCTTTCTGTTATGTGAGCCCAAATAAACTAAGACAATCAATTAATCAATAAACAAAAAGTAAATGAATAAGTAAACTAATCAAGGTATATGTTATGGGTTAAATCATATCCTCCCAAATTGATATGTTGAAGTCCTAATCCCCAGTACCTCAGAATGTGACCTTCTTTAGAAATAGTACTTTTTAAATGAAACTAGTTAAGAGAAGATCATGCCAGAGTAGTGCGGGCCTCTAATCTACATTGACTGGCATCCTTATAAAAATGAAAAATGTGGAGAAAGGTACATATACACAGGCATAACATCATGTGAAGATGAATGTAAATATCAGGGCGATGTGGCTACAAGCCAAAAACACCAAAGATGGTCAGCGAACCACTAGATGCTATGGGAGAGCTGTGAAACAGGTCACTTCTCTGTTCAGAGAGAACAAACTGGTGACACCTTGTTCTCAGACTTCTAGCTTCCAGACTGTAAGATAATACATTTCTGTTGTGTCAGCCACCCAGCCTGTGGCACTTTTGTAGGGCAACTCTAGCAAATGAATATGGTGTGCTAGAGTTTCAGTGGGAAAAATGGACATTTATTCTCATAATTTATAGTTGCTTTTTAATCTGGGCAAAACTATGAAGTTAAAAGTCAAGAAAAAAAATATCTGTAATTGTGTATTATGTTTGCAACCAGATACATCATAAGAGAGATAAAATAAAAAGTTATTGTTACAAGTAGATTACAGTAAATAAAGATGAATATCTGATATTTTTGAACATCAGGCACTTCTAATGATCTGCCTGCTGACATTTTTAAAGTTAGTTAATGCATTATATTGGGCACTTTAATAAAGAATTTTATCACTCGTTAAAAGTTCAAGTGAAACGGATTATCAGTATTTATATCTCTATGTCTGAGCAATTCCTTTATTTACACTGTGTGCCCAAATTTTATGCATAGTAGAAAAGAAAAAAAATTATTACCCTCTACGTGCTAGACTTCAAAATGAAAATATATATTGTCTAAAATTCCATTATTCCACCAGAATATTAAAATAGGAATCTAATTTTCTCTGGGAATTATTATATAGATTTGATGAATAGATATTAAACCAACAGTTCCCCTCCCTAGATAATTGGTTTCCCAATTAAAGAAAAATCTTTCAAAAGTGCTTTAGAAGCATTCTTAAATTTTGAAACTGTTTCCCTTAAAAGTTATAATCACAAAAATATTGTATTTCAAGTTTCATTGCTTTTTGGTATACAATATTTTCATGGTAAATATTTCCTATGGAACACAGTTAGCTGTTCCCATGCTGAGGATTAGTTTCTCTCAGCTGATGTTTTATACAAATCTGAGAAAGATTTAAGTACATGAGAATGCCTTCAAGATATCTTTTCTACAATAAAACTTAAATCTTATTTTCTTTAGGTATTGCCCTGTGTCATTCTCATTCTTTTCGTTTGTTTTTTGGTACTACTGCTTTATAAACAGCACGTATTTTGCATAGACACATATCAATGAGAGGCAGAAAGAGTAGACTTCCTGGTAAGTTTCTAAAGACGAATTTGAAATATTTAATAAGGCATTTTTATACCAAGCAAATACTCTCTGAGACTGCAAATTGTTATGCATGACTTGTCAGGGTTAACAGCTCTGTTAAAATCTCAAGAGATTCAATGTTGAATAAGAACTTTGAGTAAAAATAAGCTGGAGATTTACGAAGGCTCAGAGTACTTCTCTGAAGGAATCTCTTAGGGCTTAATTCTCAGAAGATTTTCCCAGGAAACATGAAAAAGAAATAGTCGTCAAGATACAACTTAAATTTCATTCTATACAGGAGAACTGTAATTTCACCAACAGACCAATAACACTGCATTGTAGTCATTGTGTAATTTAATAAAGTTTTGAGTATTAACTCAAGTCACTGAATTGAAAAGAAAAAAATATTTCTGCAAGTACACATATGAAACATCTGGGCTGAGTACCAAAACAAAATTCACTATTTTGTGTACTAACTATAAAACCACAGCAATTGTTAATTTCTGTGCACTTTCAATAGGATCTTATTTATGGCACTAACTAATGTGAAATTTCACATTCACATGTACAATTTATATTCTGTTCCATAAATGGAAAAAATAATAGGGAAATAATAGGTATTAAGTGCCAATGATGTGGAAACCCTCTGTTATAAGCCATTGAATTTAATAAAATAATTAAGTTAACAATAATCTATTGAGAAAATGACATTTAATACTGTTTTACCCATAGAGAAGTTGAAGTTCAAAAAAGTTGTATAGTTGACAATTGGAGACGGCAGAATTCAAGTCCAGCCCTATCTATTTTGATATGTAGCAGTCTTTCTCATATACACTATTACTTGACCCAGTCAAGATCTGCTGAATCTTGTTTAATAGTTACAATATTTTCTGCCTTTTTGTTTTGTGTGGTCCTTGCTGGTGTACAATGACAGTCCAGATGCATCTACTTGGGCAGAAGAAGCTTTCTATCACATTTCCCATAGTGAAAGGCCGAGGCGGTAAGTCCATTTTGTCAAATAAGAGTATGTTGCAGAATACTTAGAAGGGAGTAATATCCAGGAACTAACAACACTGTTGTGCTCCTCTGCAGCCCTGTAGAATGCTCATAATTCTCTTCATAGTTGTACAGAGTAAATGGCTCTAGTGAAAATTGACTGGACTGATCGTATGCCCACTAGTCTTATGTATCTTACAAGTATATTTGCATATTATCTCAAATTGATTTCCTACCCTGTCCTGCTCTGCTCTGCTTGCAGAAACTTAATACCTGTCATTGACATTGATTTGCTTTCCTTATCAACAGAATAAGGGGAAGTTATAGATGGAAACTGAAAAACAAGAATAAGTCAATCTCTCTGTCTCTGCCTTTCTGTCTCTCTCTCCCTGCCTTTCTGTCTCTCTCTCCCTCCCACCTTCTTTCTGCTTTGGATGATGTCTCTGGCTAAGACTGCAGTACTTCAGTGGTTCCAGCTCCCTTTCAGCTGCCCCCTACCATGGTCCATTCTATAAGATCCAGGTTCTGTGCTTAGGTAATACTACTACTCTCAGCCTTAAGGGAGCCATACTGCTGCAGTGATTGTTTCACAGGGTACTATTTGACTTTTCAGTCCCTCCATTTTTGTAACTTGTTCTCAATTTTCTCTATTTGTCTAACTGCCAGTTGATTTGTTTTTCTGCTAGAACTTTGATTGACACAGAAGGTATTAACAGATTTCTCCCCAATGCTCCTTTATCCATTTTGAAAGTAATGACTACACACTACCAAACATAAAGGTTAGGTTCTATATTTGATGCTAATATTGTTAGTACAAGTTGAATATCTCTTATGCTTGGGACCAACATTTCAGATTTCAGATTCTTTTCAGTTTCAAGAATTTGCATATACATAATGAGATACTTTGGGGATGGGACCCAAGTTTAAATACGAAATTCATTTAAATTTCATATGCATCTTATTTCTATGGACTGAAAGTAAGTTATGTTTTTAATAATTTTGTGAATGAAACAATATTTGTGTACATTAAACCATCAGAAAGCAGTATCTCAGCCACCTATGTGGACAATCTGTGGTTGTTTGGCATCACCACTATTTCTGACTCTGAATTTATATTGCTACTGCTAAACAATCATTTTCACACAGAAGTATTAAATGGTAAAAAAAAAAAAGCATGCAATTAATGCAGTGAAAAAGTAATGCATTTGTAGTAGCTAAGTAGAAGAACAGCATCACCAGAATACATATATTAGCCATTAAACAATAAACTAAAATGTTACTGTCTACTATATATTTTTTAGGAGAGAATAAACATCAGAAGCAATTGAGGGAACAGGAAGTGGTTCCTGTGGAGATGAGGAGGCTTTCTGCTGGATGGCTACTTAAAATTTTTCTCTAGAGTCACTTGCCTTATTAGCAGTGGTTTACATCTTTGATTTTATAGATGGACAAGATTTTTTATTCTGTTACAAATGCACACTACTCTAGTCCTACAATGAACCTATCACACATTTTCATCATATAGGCACTTCTCTTCAGTGTTAAAAAATGTCATCTTCGGCCAGGCGCAGCGGCTTACACCTGTAATCCCAGCACTTTGGGAGGCCGAGACGGGTGGATCACGAGGTCAGAAGATCGAGACCATACTGGCTAACATGGTGAAACCCTGTCTCTACTAAAAATACAAAAAAAATTAGCCAGGTGTGGTGGCGGGCGCCTGTAGCCCCAGCTACTCGGGAGGCTGAGGCAGGAGAATGGCATGAACCTGGGAGGCAGAGCTTGTAGTGAGCCGAGAGAGCCCCACTGCACTCCAGCCTGGGTGACAGAGTGAGACTCCATCTCAACAACAACAACAAATGTCATCTTCAGCATCATGTGAGCATTCAGACAGTTTTGGACTTTGGAGCATTTTGAATTTCAGATTTTGGAATTAGAGATACTCAATCTGTTGCAGATTCTTATTTTAAAATGAGAATCTGGATGCCTTTGCATTCAAAAACTTGAATTACTCAGCATATTAGAACCTGACAAATACATATATACAGAGAGAGAATGTTTAAGAACTCAAATAATCGTCGAAGTATTCTATCAATTATCTCTCTAATGTGTGACATGTTTTAGAAATGGTTTCTTGAGATAAGCTTCCATTTTACTTAATGAAGTTGAAAGTAATGGTGTCACCATCAAGAATTAATGCATGAGTCTGCATGGTGGCTCACACTTGCAATCCCAGCACGCTGGGAGGCTGAGGCTGGTGGATTGCTTAAAATCAGTAGTTTAAGACCAGCCTGGGCAACATGGCAAAACCCTGTTTCTACAAAACACACAAAAATTAGCCAGACCTGGTAGTACACACCTGTAGTTCTAGCTACTCAGGAGGCTGAGGTAGGATAATCAATTGACCATCAGAGGACAAGGCTGCAGTGAGCCCTGATCGTGCCATTGCACTCCAGCCTGGGTAACAGAGTGAGACCTTGTCTCAAAAAATAAAAAAAAAAATTAATGCATTTTTTAAAACTATGAGAAAGGCCTAGTGCCTTCCCATAATTTAAAAAAATTATAGCCTCATACCTATAATCACAGAACTGTGGGAGGCCAAGTTGAGCTCAGGAGTTTGAGCCCAGATATTCAAGACCAGCCTGGGCAACATAGAGATACCTAGTTTCTACAAAAAAAAAAGTTTTTAAAATAAAAAATTATACAGATGTTGTGGCACACACCTGTAGTCCCAGTTAATCAGAAGGCTGAGGCAGGAGGGTCTTGAGCCCAGGAGTTCAAGGCTGCAGCAGGCTATGATCATGCCACTGCACTCCAGTCCACATGACAGAGTGAGAGCAGCGGGCTATGATTATGCCACTGCACTCCAGTCTACGTGACAGAGTGAGACCTTGTCTCAAAAAAATAAATAAATAAATAAAATAAATTGTGACACAGCTATGTCATCAAAATCAAGCATTTCTTGTTTAGCCTTTATAGTAATTAAGCCCATAAGGTAACTTTATGAAGGACTCCTTAATCCTGAACACCCATGGGAATATCTACTTTCTTAAACAGTTATCTCTCTTGTAAAGTTTAATTGCTCCCACCTAAGATTTAATTTGTTTCACCAGGGTGAAACAGCTTGGGACACAATATTGTTTTCAGAATGATTAGTATATTTCATCTCTTATATCTGTTATCTTCGGCACTAGATTCTTTCCTTTTAACTGTTTTTTGTGTGAGAAGTTAATATTTGATCCATGCATACTTAACCTTGTAAAACTTGTTTCTTCTCACCTACAGGCTGTCAAACTTTAAATGGTCACACAACTGGAGCCTCTGATGATAGCTCCCTTTTACCAGGAACCCTCAGATAGGCCTCTGAGGGAAATCTGAGTTCCGTTTTCCCAAAACAGCATCCCCTGTCAGCAGGGAGTAGCTAATATCGGTCATGATCCCTATTCTAACAGCAGTTAGATGCACCTCTTCAGAGGAGGAAATGACACAGGCAGGAGGCAGAGAAATCCTAGGCATACCAGGGGTGGGCATCCCATGAAACCTCATCTTCAAGCCAAAGACAGTTCAAAGCCTGAAGACCAAGCTACAAGTCAAATTCACAGACCAGATAGAGAACCTGTCTTCCTCTTTGTAGTGCTTTCCTTTGATTGAGCTTCACCCTTCACCTATTTTACATATACCTACCCTTTCCTAATTGTTTTTACACTGTTCCCACCTTTGACTGGTGCCTTTGTTTTAACCTTTTTCCAAACTCTTGAATGGATCAGTACATACTTCTTTATCCTATGCCTATAAAAGCTGCAGACTCAGCCACACAGAGAGATGACCTGACTTCAAGAGAGACAACCCAACTCTCCCATCTCTTCTCCGCTGAGAGCTGTTTGGTCACTCAATAAAATTCTCTGCCTTCACTACCCTTCAACTATCAGTATGACCTCATTCTTCTTGGATGTGGGACAAGAGCTCAAGACCCACCAAATGAGGGTGCCCAGAAAGTCTATAACACTGGCCCTCTGACCTTGCTGATGGAGGGCAGCCGCCTCGTATGACAGAAGCAGCAGCAGGTCCAAGCCAGTCCCAGAGCCATGCTAGTCCTGGAGTCATGGGCAAGAGCAGGGTAAAAGGCTGACTGAGCTGCTAACACGCCTCTTTCCACTGGACAGCAGACAGCTAATTAGCATCCTGTAACATCCCCTCTGGGGCTTGGGTGTCTCAGGCACCACTGCCTGGGCATCATCAAATTCCCCTCAGGGTGACACATCTGATCTTACTGCAGCCTCACACAGAACTTGCTCATGTGTTGATGCTCAAAGCAGTTGGCCAGACCCCACACTTGCTTGCTTACATGCTCACTCCTGCCAGGGGCTGAGCGCAGTGGGCTGAGTAGGTGGGGTGTTCCCTGCTGCAGGTCCGGCAAATGGGGCAAGAAAAGTCCTGTGTCACCTTTATGCTGTTCTTGTTTAATGAATGCAACAAAATTTCACAGTGTTCTCTGCAGTTAATCATTATTCTGTTTGTTCATTTTAATCCTTGTCTTTTATCTTGTTGCTTTATTTCCAAAAAAATGAAACAAAAAAAAGCAGCTGGTTGATTGAAAGAGAAATAGCACATTATCATTTAAAAACTGAGTTGATGTTTTCCCCTTTCAATTGGAATGCTACCTCTTAGTAAGTGTGGCTGGAATGCATTGATATTCTTTCCAAGCTTGTTGAGTACCCTTCTATTTCCAAAGCAGGAGTAACTGCATCAGAAGAGGGGACTTGTGATATTTGTCTATTGATAAGAACTGTTTTCTTTTATTTTGTTTTTGTTCCCCTGTGATATGGACGTTTTGGTTTACTGGAAGTTAATTTCTGCTTAATTCTTGTGTCACAATATTCCTTTTTTGAGCCATCCTCAGAAAAATTCACCAAAGGCCTTATGGTAGAATAAAAATATTTTTTCTCGGATTGCACAGATTAAAAAAAGACTCTTCCTTGTTTTGAAAGCTTCAATTTAATAAGTTGTCCAGGTGTCTTGTATTTACAAGGACTTTCTTGGACAAGATAATGTTCTCCTTTAATGTTTAGGGCTATACATTTGATCTATTTCCCAGTGCTGCCCACCCCCTGCCCATTAATCCAGTTTCAATGTCTTCAGTGCTCTAGGAATTTTTGGAATCTCTTATCCACTGTTGGTACCCTATCTTATTATTGTGGTTTCTTTTTGAAATATTTATGGTTTCTTTTTGGTGTATGGTCTCTGACATGTCAAGGGGTGATATATCAGAAAGATATATCTAAGTGTAAGTTATATTGCAATAACAAACAAACCCTAAATTTTAGAGTCTTTAAGCAATAAAAGTTGATTTCTCACTCACATACTCTGAAATGTGGTTGGGCTGGTGTGGCTTTGTTGCAAGCTGTCCTCCCTCGGAGGCAAATGCTGCTGAGTCACTACCCTCCATAACACAGGTGAGTGTTTGCAAAGCATCTAACCAGGTAAATAAAAGTATAGACAGTAGAATATTATTGGCTCACTACATTATATAAATGTATATTTAAGACAGAAAGTTAAACATGGTGGAACAGAGTCCATGAAATGTCACTTGGTTCTTTATGTCACTAAGTTCTTTATGTCGCTGTCAATTGGTCTCAGTGGTTGCTTTAATCACATGGAATCTGATCCCAGTGTATTTTTAGTTATAAAGCAGTCGCAACATAAGTGCTGCTCTTATATCTCTTTGCTGAAAAGACAATAGGAAACCACTCCCATTCAATCTCTTTTTGTTCAATGTATTGATGATATTGGATTTTTTTTTTTTTTTTTTGAGACGGAGTCTCGCTCTGTCGCCCAGGCTGGAATGCAGTGGCGTGATCTCGGCTCACTGCAAGCTCCGCCTCTGGGTTCACGCCATTCTCCTGCCTCAGCCTCCCAAGTAGCTGGGACCACAGGCGCCCACCACCACGCCCGGCTAATTGTTTGTATTTTTAGTAGAGATGGGGTTTCACCATGTTAGCCAGGATGGTCTCAATCTCCTGACCTCATGATCCTCCCGCCTCGGCCTCCCAAAGTGCTGGGATTACAAATGTGAGCCACTGTGCCCAGCCGATACTGGATATTTTAAGTTAGAGAAGTCACACCTATACTTCGTAAGAAAAATAAATACAAGTCCAGTGCTATTTCTCTTAAGGAAGGCAACCTGAACATTGTCTTGCCTGCCTTTCTATAACTCTATCTCTGTTCATTCAAAGGGCTCTAATATAGTTTCATGCATATATACATACACTAAACAAAACACTGTGCATTTTTACCCCACCCAATAATTTTTCATGGATATCTACATGACAATTATGTAAAAGATTATTTTTTTGAAAATTCAGGTAATTTAATTGGAGGAAAGAATTAAAAGAATTTTAGAAATAATTGGATGAGACATTTATGATTTGAGTATTTATGACAACTATGAAAATTAAGTGAACAATTTAAGTTGGTATCTCTGAATAAAGCACTTGAAATAATGGACCAGAACATTTTTATTAAGATACAACACAAGAATTCAAAATCCACTAATAAAGAACACTTGAACGTAACAATTAAAATTTTGTTCAGTGTGGGCAACATTGTAAAACCCTGTCTCTAATAAAAATACAACAATTAGCCGGGCATGGTAGCACACGCCTTTAGGTGGGAGGCTGAGGAGGGAGGATCACTTGAGCCTCGGAGATCAAGGCTGCAGTGAGCCATAATCGTGCTGCCACTGCACTCTAGCTAGCCTGGGGGACTGTCTCAAAAAAATATAAAATTATAGACAGCTTCACAGGTGGGGGAGACATGACACAGAAGAATCACTACGGAATAATATTCTAGTAAATTATTGATCTTGAAAGATAAATAATGATATCTTCTTTTGTAATATATATTCTTATATAATTAAAGTAATAGATGTTTAATATAATTTCTGTAGCTATCTTACATTCCACGTTGCTTATTGTTGCATAGTTATATTTTTCTAGTTTTTTTGTGTGTGTTTGTTTTCTATACTACGTAATAAATTACTACAAACGTTGCATATAACAAAAGCTATCACATTTGGTTCTATGTGTGGGGGTGCTTTTTTCTTGGTATCTACATGGACTGTTGTGATAAACTTAGAGAGTAGCACCGCTTTTATGAAAGGTCGCAACTTCCACAATATTCCATGGTGTCTCTGTGTGGCACAGCAGGAGAAGATTTAAATTGGCCATTTAGCTTGTGCAGGACAATAATATCCAAACTGGATTTCAAAGTTTTCTCCTTGCCAGAGTATGAGTACAAGAAAATTTCTCTATATACTAAAATAGGAAGTGAAATTGGCTGAGAGAAACTCAGAGGATTTCAAGAAGATGTGCAATTATGACAGAGAGAATGAATTCATGATGATCAAGGACTGATCAATGAAAACCAGTGAGAACACAGAAGTCTGGTAGAAAGCAGTAGAGACCTGTGATGGCACTGCCAGTCCTCTTCCACATGCGGCCTTCTCTCTGCGTGATGTGCCCTCACCTTCTACCTTCACAGTGTTTTTTTTCTATATCCAATTGCTGTGTCTCCCCTCTATACCTGACCATTGTGCATTCACTCTCTATCTGATCATGGTGAATTTTCTCTACACCCAATCACTGTGTAGTCATTCTATACCCAATTGCTGTATCTTCTCACTATATCTGATGCTATACTTTCTCTCTAAACCTGATCATTTTGTCTTCTGTCTATACCTGACCATTGCACCTTCCAGCTATACCTGATTGCAATGTTTATATCTGACTGCTGTGCCATTTTCACTCTATGCCTGGTCACTATGCCTTGACCATAAACCTGGTCATTTTGTATGTGTGTGTTTTTTTCAGATTACTTGGTGCCTTCACTCTATATCTAATCACTGGGCCTATTCCACATCCCTGACATTGAGCTTTCTCTCTGTGCCTGATCACTGAACATTCACTGAACACCTGACTCCTAGGAAATGGACAAAACTATCCAAAATTATGCCCCCCTACCAATAAAATTATCCAAACAGAATTAGAAATCAGGTTCAATTAAAAGTGAGGGGGATTATCACATATCCTGATTGTTTAAATAAAATAAAATTTCAGTATATGTCCTAATACAGTAATTTCAGCATTTGCTTAAAATCTTTTTCAACTTATAAAATGATACAAACAATTTTAATTTATATGCTTTGATTAAAAGATAGGGACAACAACATCGACTGATTAATATTTTTAGTGATACTTGAATGATGACAAGTATCAATTTTGAGATTTTTTGCTTTATTCTATTTCCTCAGTAAGAAAGAAACAACATAAATTGTTATTATTAGGATCTATATATGTGACATTCCAGTCAATTTATGTAATGAATAAGAATGATTCTAATGAGAAAATCGATTCATGAATGGATATGATAAATATAGAAAAAATGTCACATTTAAGAATAGCTCTGTCTCTGTGAAAATGTATATAATTTGGGTTTACTCATTCTATACATATTTTATTTATTACCTATTTAGTTTTAGACACTTTGTTAGGTGCACATGATACTGAGATTTTTAAAATATATTTTTAAGGGACTACGGACCACTATAATATCAGGTGATTTCAAACTAATTTATAAGTAAAGGTGGAAGGTGCTAAAATAATAAGCCAAGGTTGCTCTAAGATCAATTGTAGTAAATATTTTGCTGTTTATTTTCTTTAAAAAAGACATTCTCTACTTTAAGAGAAGTGCTACATTCCAAAGCCAAATTATATACCTCAATGATCCATTGATCACTGCAATAATTTCACTTATTATATTTTTTAGAATTACCTACACAAAACCTGCCTCTTTAAACTGCCAAGAATCTCTGACTGGTTTGTTTTGTGTTTCAGTTTTCTACATTGAGGCCTATACATATGAAAGTCATTCTTTGGCTATCATATTTTTTAAAACATGATGTACCAATTAAATCTGTATGAATGTGGTACAATTTATGCAGAAAAATATGTATCTTCTAGTTAAGTATTTTCTCTTGCAAATTGACCAGTTTTATTAGGGAATTCCAAGTCTGGCCTACATTCATAAAAAGTAAGTGGTAAGAGGGTAACCATGTACTCTGGGGCCTACCAATGGGCAGAGGGTGGGAAGAGGGAGAGGATCAGGAAAAATAACTAATGGTTACTAGGCTTTATACCTGAATGACGAAATAATCTATACAACAAACCCCATGACACATGTTTACCTATGTGTCACATAGGTATATGCACATCCTGTTCATATACCGTTGAACTTAAAATATAAGTTTAAAAAAAGTAAATGGAAAGACTGAGGAATCACTTGAAGAGTAAAATGCAATCTAGTAAATCACATCAATCATTGAATAAAAGTTAAAAACTATGTTGGTTTATTGGGCCTTTCTTTAATTTACAACAACGAAGTTAAAGATATATAAAATAAATAAAAAGAATCTTTACCCAATGAAACAGATATTGGAACAATTATGTTCCAAAAATTAAGAGCCAATATTTCTAAGAAATCTTTCCTCTAGACGTAATTGTAGGTGGAAAAGGTTGTCATGTACTTGTTCAATAAACATTTAGAGAATATCTTGCTTCAAGTGAGGGGATACAATAACAGAATGCAGCAAAAGTGGAAAAACAGAACTTCTGAGACTCCTCTCTAAAACCCTTAATATTTTTGCTCTTATCCTCTTGAACTACTGCCCTAAGAATGCACACAAAGCAGGTCCCTACCTGGAGGATGAGATACCATGGATCAGAGACAAGCCACCCAGCTAAGACCCCAGAAAAACCAGCTGGTAACCAGCATCCACCACTGCAGGTGAGGGAGGCACCTGCGCTGTTCGAGCTCCTAGATGACTACAGCGCAATGTATGACCCTAGTGGAAGAGCAGCCTGGACCACCGAATTATGAGCAAATAAAGCAAATATTGTGTGTGGCCACTAAACTGTGGGTGGGTTGGTTTGTACAAAACACAAGCTAACTTACACAGAAGAATAGTTATGCAAATAAAGAAGAAAATTATGAAACTTGCAAAATTTTGTCTACTTTCTGGTTTGTCAGTTGTCCAATGTGTCTCTTCATGAATACTGCAATGTTCCATGTAGAATTAGAGTGCTGGCTGTGCTTTATTAAAATGATACCATTCTGAACATTATGCCCCAGGGTAATGATTTTTAAATGGCTACTAGAATCTTGGCAGATGTCCAGGGTGAACATCCCAAGATATTTGGCAGAACTAAATCAGCGCTCCAACAAGAAGCACAATAAAGTCAGCACAGCTGGTGTCTCTTCTTGTTGCTCTGCAGCAAGAAACACAGCTGCAAATGGAACAGCCTGGGGCCTTAGAGATTGGAGGTGAAAAAAAAAGACATGAAGAAGATTAGAGATGTTTCAATACATTTCCAAGAAAAAGGAACTTTGCAGTTAAACAATCTCCTTTTTGTAGCTGCAAAAATAAGTTTGTTATATTGAACCTACAGTTTATTAAATGTATACTTATAATTCTGTTAAAATATAATATTTATTCTCTCTCATACATTAAAAAGTACTATTTCTATAACCTGTTACTACCTGTTAAATGCTTTTAAATGGTATTTAATGATAGGTATACTAATACACAGAAGAGTTAAAAATTTGTACATTTTCATACAGAAATATTTATTTGAAAAAGAAAATAGTAAAGTTTATGTTCTGCCAAATTACATTGTGATCTGTTATATGATCTTTTTGAAACAACTTCTAGATTTAAAACATTTAAAAAAAAATGACTGCAATAGAAACAAATTTCAGTTAATACAGTTATAGAAACTCCTGATTCTAGGTGAAAGCAAGACTGTAATTGCAGAAATTTGAGAATGTCTCCATAAAAAGAGAACAGATAAAATTATTCTTGTTTTAAATAAAAGAGATACGATACACACAATTAAGACAAACACCTTTACCAGCTTTTTATTGCTAATTTTATGTCTTTGTATTATTGCTAAATTTCTTAGTGAGTTATGATGTGCTTTTCATGTGAAAAGTGTAATACCATTTACAAATACATTTTTATTCATCTTAATTTCTAAAATCATTCACTTGACAGCTAACTCAAAAACCAAGTATCATTTCATCTCATGGTCATTTTCATCTTTGTATTGTGATAAACACATTAACTCATTATCTCATATTTTAACTGTCGGTTCTGAAGACTATATAAATTAGGCATGTAATGTAACTATAGAGAAAGAAATTGAAGAAGTAATTCCATTAAATAATTGATAGAAGTTGGTAAAGATCAAGACTGACATGATAATGTACTGCATATCACAAAAAAAGGAAAATTTAAAATCTCAAATTTGCATTGATCAAATATGTACATCTATTATGGATTAATCCAGGTTACATTTGCCCGCAATAATGTTATAATGCCATTCTGTTCACATATGTTTACTGTTGAAATTATTTAGATAAATATGTATAGTGTATGCGTATATATATACTTATCTATATGTATACATGTAAATATACATGTATATGTACATCTATGTCATCTATGTATATATGTATATATGTCATCTATGTATATATGTATATATGTCATATATGTATATATACATGTATATATGTACATATATGTATGTATATATGTATACATATATACATATATACGTGTATATATACATACATATATGTACATATATACATGTGTATATACATGTCTCACACACACACACACACACACACACACACACATATATGACAGCCAGTACCTTACTAGGAACCAAACACAATTCAAGTGGTCTTCTAAATGCAGGCTATACAATACACAATTTTTTTTTTAATGAGAGCCATCATGGCTCCCAAGTAGCCACGCCATTACTCTTCCTTTTATGGGTGCAAATAACTTCATTTTATTCTACGACTTTCCTCAGTGTTTTCATACTATTGTGCACTTCAAGATGACAATTAATATTTAAACACTGCAATTTCTTACCTAGCCAGATAGAACATATTTTTGTTTTAAAGTTCACGGCATGAGCATTCTGGCACTATGAAAGTCTCTCTGGACAGGATTATAAATTTAACAAATATATTATTCAATTTGTGTTTCTACTTTGACATTTTTAATTCTTTATATTGCATGTTCCCTAGGGCAGTAGTTCTTAACTGACAGCATTTTTGTCACCCAGAGGACATTTGGCAATTTCTGAAGACACCATCACTTTGTGGTTGTGGGAGGAACACCACCGCATTTATTAGGTACAGGCCATGACTGCTACTAAACATCCTACAAGGCACAGGGAAGACCCTCACAACAAAGAATTATCCAGTCCAAAGTGTTAATAGTGGAAAGATTGAAAAACTCGTTCCTAGAAGAATATAATTCCCTAGATAATGGGTGAAATTACATTATATAGATCAAAAAGATACATGCAAATCTTACATTAAGACATGCTTTAGAAACCACTTCAGTTTATTTTTGCATCTTTCTGTACTGAGCTATCCAAAATGTCTCAGACTTTGTCGGCAGATTATTGCCCACCGACAAGAAATATACAACCACATTATGCTTTTCTCACTGGCAATATAGCGCAGTGCAATTACTTGGAGTGGCTCCATAATCATTACTTAGCAAGAGATGCAAGAAACAATAATCTGATAAAATCTTACACACCAAGGAAGTCTCTGGTACTGCCTTTTCTGTATTCTTGTGACATATTTGCAAAGCTATATAGAAAATCTATTATTTGCATGATCTTCCTATTTCCCCAAAACACACAAATGCACACGCATGGGTACACACACACACACACACACGGACACACATCCCAAGCTGGACTATTTTTTTTTAATCATTTTATCCTGTATGTCAAATGTCCATTTATTTTACCTTTTCTAACAGATAAATCACCAAGCATTATTTAAGATTCACTGAGGACGTCTTCTCTCATCCACAAGCAGGGCCCCCTGTCCAAGTCTACGGTTCCCCTATTGGTGCTTATCAGACACCATATTGAAATTTTCTATTTGTAAGTCTGCAGTTTGCTCAAAGATAGTGGTCTTGTTTCATTAACCATTTTATTACTAGCCACTATCACAGCTCTCAGCACATAAAGTGCATTTACTCTCTCTCTCTCTCTCTCTCTCACTCAAGAAAGAATTGAATAAATATAAGGAGAGAGATTGTTTTAATGATTCAAAACTGAATTAATGAGTATATGATAAAAAAAGTAATTTTATCAGGCCCCATACGTTGATAAAAATTTTGTTGTCACCTGCTTACATTATTATTAGTCTTCAGTTAGCATTAGAAACCAGTACATTTTTAAGTGTTAGTGTTATAAAAATGATTTTTATTACATATTTAGAACCACTTATTCCTTTCATACCAAATAAAGCCACAACCTAGTGTTTAGAAGCAAACCTTCAACAATGTGTGTGTGTCTATTTCCTTTAGATATCTTCTGTGCATGTACATGCATATTCTGCAACACAGCTGTATTCTCTAACAAAACTAGGCTATCTTAGTATCACAGAAGGGAAGCCTGGATAGTCATTAGATAACTAACAGTATCTACCCAAAGGGAAGAAGCATGATCCCATATATTTGTAACAAACGCTATATTTCTGTCTATATGTATATAGTCCAGTAGGGCTGGCAGAACACTAACTGCTATAGATCAGCAGATACCTTGTCTATCAAAACTATGACACCATCCTCTAATTGTTCCTTGCCTCTGATCTCCCTATAATAGCTTACAATAAAGACTGACAAACTCTTTTTTTTAATAAAAGATAACACTGTAAATATTTTGGGCATTGTGGGCCAGCGATATGACCTTCTTCCCAAACATCCAGCTCTGCCATTGCCGTGCCAAAACTACCACAGACAATCTTCAAGTAAAGGAGTGTAACTGTGTTTCAATAAAAGCACAAAAACAGAGAGCAGGACAGATTTGTTCCCCCTGCCATTGTCTGCAGATCTTTGCCTATAATATCATCAACTTTTTGTTTCTAAAATCAGAGTTGGCCAGACACAGTGGCTCACACTTCTAATCCCAGCACTTTGGGAGACCCAGAAGGGCGGATCATTTGAGACCAAGAGTTCAAGACCAGCCTGGCCAACATGGCAAGACCCCGTCTCTACTAAAATTACAAACTTTAGCTGGGCCTGGAGGCACACGCCTGTAATCCCAGCTATTTGGGAGGCTGAGGCATGAGAATTGCTTGAACCTGGGAGGCAGAGGTTGAAGTGAGCCGAGATCATGCCACTGCACTCCAGCCTGGGCGGCAGAGTGAGACTCTTGTCTCAAAAAAAAAAAAAAAAAAAAAAAAAAAAAATCAGAGTTAATGAAAATATCACCCATTCTTATGAACACAATATAAAGTGAGTTTCTCCCTCCACTTTCATATCATCCTCTATGCATTCATGTTACAATATCTATTATATGTTATTACCATGAATGCTATGTATTTGTTTTCCTATAGTAATGAGTGTATATATACACACACACAAACTTACTGATAAAATATAATTTCCAATATTCAGCTTAAGGTTTCCCATAAAATAACTCTTTCAATAGAATCTTGCCTGAAACCACAGTAGTACAGAGAGTTGAAACTTACTCTGTCTTGTTCTTTTTCTCTACTACTTTCAGATATTAAATTTTTGTCCCTCAACCATACTCATCTCAGTAAGAGAACTTAAGAATATTAACTTTTCACTATTCTCATCTTTCTTCCCAAACCCCAAATGAGGACTTTGACTTGTTCCCAAGTCCTCAACTCACAGCCTTTTCTGCAAAAATTACTTTATGCCTTATGATTCTCACATAGATTATGTGGCATCCTTTTACAATATCTCAAAAATATCCATTTGTATTAACTCAGTGTACACACACACACACACACACACACACACACACACACATCTATTCCAGAGTTCACTGTTGATAACATTTTTCCTCTCTGTTATTTTCCTTGACTTTTAGATCTCTGTTCTGATTTATTTCAACTATTTTCAATTTCAACTGTTGATCTTCCAGATCCTTCTCCAAATATTTATTTTGCCCTAGCTGATGGATCATATTTGTCTAAACAATAGATTTGGGGCTTCAGTGTTTTCTCTGTAGGCCGTAAATGGGACTCAACTTTCTAACAGATTCCTCTATTTCATGTAATAAATGTGAGGGTAACATATTCATTTTTATTCACACCTAATTTTTAAAAATCTGAATGTTTTTAAATTTTTCTCTTTTTATTAGGCTTTAAAACTTTACCAGGATTTTCCTATGTTTGATTCTTATTCTATTTACTCTTCCTGGAACTTGGAAAGTCTACTAAACTTGTAAAGTCAGTATATTATTCACTTCAAGAAAAATTATGATTGCTCCTTTCCCCCATTTCCTCTTTATTTTTCTCTAAGGACACATGTTATTCACATGATAGGTCTAATGAATATGTTCTCTAAATCTCCTTTCTTTTTCCCACAATATCCACAATTTTATGTTTGTTTCTGTGGCTACTAGCTACTTCTTCCAGTCAGTTATGATTTTAGGTACCAGGACAATAATTCAGGTCTAATCAGTTACCATTCATGCCTTCAATCCATATATTGACTTTCTTTGTTGTTGTTATTTACTTATTTGTTTAAAGCAAAAGGCTTTGAGTTACAGAAATCTGTTTGTGGCATCCATAAAAGCCCTCCAATGCTCGTATTGGCTACTGTTTAGTATACTGTCTTCCTGGGTAATGCCTGCTCTGCCTGTTTTTCTCTCTAGTGCTTTAACCCCTGTGGTTATGACAGTTTCCTTTGTGCTCCTTGGGGCCCTTACTTACCTTGGAAATAGCTCACCAGGAGCACTCTCACAGGTGGGAGCACCATAGAGCTCGTTGCCTTCCTAAGGCAGAGGAGATTAGGTTTGTGGGTATCAGTTCCTTGATGTGGCAGAGAGAATTCTGTCCTTGAGTTCCCATGCAAACTCTCACCCACCAGGGTTAAAAAATGCTGAAGCCTTTAATTCTCCCTCGACTCTCCTTGGAGATCAATAAGCCCGACAGTATTCTGGGCCTCTCTTAGGCTCCTGCAGGCTGGTTCCTGTGTTCTGCTGGGGTCCAGAGGGAACGAGTTTGGCAACTGCTTTCTCCTCTGAGACTTCAGCTAAGGAAGAAGACCTCACTCTCTTCCTTACCTGCTCCTACAGCAGCTGCAGGAGCTACCTGCCTAGCTCAAGAAGACTAACATGGGCTGGAATCTGGAGTTGAGAGAAAAGATGCTACCATCTTCCATTTTTAAAAAATATATATACATATATATACATATACACATATATATATTTCAAATTCACAGACTGATTTGATTAGTGACTAAGTGACTATAAGAACCTCAATCTAAAACAATACTCATACATATGCAGTAAAATTAAATATATTAAATCTTTACTCAATAAATGTGTTACAAAGCTTAGAGTCTCATAAAGATAGTCGAAAAGTATTATCGTAGAAGAACCATTTTTAAACTACTTTTTAAAAAATCATCCCATGAAATGAAAAATAAACAAAAATAAATTCAAATAGCTACACCACAGAAACCAGTGAGTGGTGAAAAAGCCCCAGATCATTAGGGTGGCTCAGGTCCTGGATCATGGTTCTGTTGGCTGCAGTGTAGGCTTTGCATTCAGCTAAACCTGGAAAAATGCCTCCTTGGCTATTTTCTAAATATGTGAATTTGCAAAAGTGACTTAAATACTTTATGCCAGTTTGCACATCTTAAAAATGATATTCAAAATACTTCACGGGGCTGTCATATATTTTTAAATAAATAAGGTATATAAATGCTTAGGAATATCTGAAAAGTTGTATTGATTAATGTAGCAACAGCTATTAATGGTATTATAATTTGGTCATACACTGAAAGCTTAAAAGACCTGGAGACAAAAATTTCAGACATTCTAGAATCTTTCTTCTCTGCAAATAATCAAATTGAATGTGCTGGTATGTTCTTAACAATATACATGTAGAATTCACGTGATAGAAGAGCCATATCAATTAAGCAAGTATTCCACGTGTTTTCAAATTTATACATGTTTCTTTCCCCTTGAGATCCAACTATTACCTACACTTACATGATTAGAAATCAATTTCAATGAATATAATTGCTAGACCCAATAGTCTTTAACACTTTATGCCACAAAAAATACTAAAATATTTTGAAACTTCATATTTATATCCCCTCCAGATATATATATATAAGTAAAAATTGGTATTCTAAAGATGACTTTTTGATTTTCTTAATATGTTAATTGCATAATCACAAAAATGATTTTTCTTACCCATATCTGACATTTCAGGCACAGTAACAATGTATGGTCCATCTGTGAATTTTGGAGCGTTGTCATTGATGTCTTGCACTTTGATGATGAACTCGGATTCAGGCTCAAGAGGTTTGTTTGTACGTCTATCAATAGCTTGAGCATGAAGCACATAGTGGGTCTTCTGCTCTCTGTCTAGGCTTTTTGTTGAGTGGATATCACCCGTGGTATCGTCAATGATAAATATAGTCCCAGCACCCTCTCCAGTAAGGATGTACTTGACAGATCCATCACCTTTGTCAGAATTGGAGTGCAGCTGTGAAATACACATGGAATAATTTAGCATATATTTATATTCCAACCTCACATTATGTTCTCTGAAAACTCCCTATCTATAATTACTTTGGCTATGACTTTTCTTCCCTTTACAGTGCCCTGTGTGTTACTACTATCATTTGCTTTTCTGCAGTTTTTTTTTTTCACTTGGTTAATCATATGGATATTGCTATCATGGTTTGTCTAAGAGATACAGTTATTGATCTAAGAAAAAAACAATAAATAATATTTATTAAAACAAAAATAGCCCTTATAATTTTACTAAATCCACATTCCACTAACTGCCATAAAGTTGGGAAAATAAATTCCCAGTAGATTATTGTTGCCTTCCATACTTGTGAAAATAATATATTTGGTTTTAATTATTTGACATTCTATTTCAACTTTATGACTAGAAAAAAAATATATGGTAGGACAAATTGAGGTTCAAATTAATTATTAAAATTTTCACAAAAGAGGCACATATTTAAGTCATAGTCACAGTCATGTGTTTAATAATTTGAAAAAAAAATGAAATCACCTCTAATATAAAGGGCTTTGATGTAGAATATTAAAAAATAGAGTATTTTTGGCCAGGCACGGTGGTTCACGCCTGTAATCCCAGCACTTTGGGAGGCCGAGGTGGGCAGATCACGAGGTCAGCAGATCGAGACCATCCTGGCTAACACGGTGAAACTCCGTCTCTACTAAAAAAGTACAAAAAAAAACTAGCCGGGCGTGGTGGCGGGCGCCTGTAGTCCCAGCTACTCGGGGGGCTGAGGCAGGAAAATGGCGTGAACCTGGGAGGCGGAGCTTGCAGTGAGCCGAGATCGCGCCACTGCACTCCAGGCTGGGAGACAGAGCGAGACTCCATCTCAAAAAAAAAAAAAAAAAAAAAGAGTACTTTTTTAGGGATAGAGTATTTTTTTAGTTAGGGATTATAAAACTTTAACTCAAAATTTAAATAGCAGTAATATATTTAGTTGATAAATAGGCTCTCATTTTAATTAATTGAAATACAGTAACAAATCTACACTTACTAAAATTAAAATTATCAAATATTATTTGAATAGATATTAGAAAAGTAACAATAAATTACAGAAGAGGTATTCAATAAGAAAAATACCTAAAATATTGAGATAATACACTTTGTTGCCATTTAAACTGCATATAGTTTTTGCTAAAGATTCTGCTATAACACCAAAATTCACTTAAATAGTTCCAAGAGTGCCAGTGCTATATTTCTAGCTAGAAATAACAGCAGTATTTTCTCAGTTCACAAATATATTTTCAAGGATTGTTTCTCCCTAGAGGTCTGAACAGTTATCCTTTATATTAAACCTTTTTGGGCACATAACCTCAATGATTTACCTTTTTCTCATTTCTGACACGTAGAAACATTGAAAAAACACAACTTTGTTCACATAGCATTTCAGTTTTCTTGCCATAGTAACATGAACATTTTTGAGGTTTTAAAGTCTCTGAACTCTCAGAAGACATTTGGAAAACACAAAATACAGAAAAAGACAATGCAATATGAGAAAAAGATTTTTTTTCTGGGAAAATTAGGGCAACTGAAACATAAATGATAGTATGGGAATAATTTCACTTCTTTCTTGAAAGCATGTAAAAAATTACCAGGACAAAATTTTGACAGGAATCACAGAGTAAGATTCAACAGATGAAACCATTTAAAAATGCTTATTTAGATCTTTTATAAAAATGAGCAAAAATACACAGCTTTCAAAGATTCACACTTCATTAGTAAATTGGATACTAAAAGAAGAATGCAGAATGAATTGGGTGATACAATTGTATGCTTGTATGAAAATGTGTTTATTTATTTATGTCTCTTAGTATATCATTTTAGTATCTAGAAGAAAAGATTCATCTTTCATGAAGCAGACACCCGCAAAGTGTCAATAGAGAAACCTATTTCATATTCTCTAACTTCGCGTCAATCCATGACCAAAATGTAGCAAAGTAAATCAACAAATTCATTTACCAAATGTTTCTAAAACCTTTTCTAGAATACTTGTCATTAAACTAACAAAAGGTGAGATAGTTTGGTAATTATTATGTTGTTATATTATATATAAATTATAAATCTATATATTGTACTTATAACTGTATAAAACATTTTTGCAGAATGTGTTATGTCTTTTAACAATTTCTAAAAGTTTAACAATGATGAAAATTGGCATTCATCTTCAGGATATGTATATGTGTGTATACATATATATATACATGAAAAATATGTTTAGTGAAATTAATTTGATGTCACTTAGTTTTTTTATTACTAACAAAATGTAGCAATATAAAATTATACTAAGTGTACAGTTAGGTTCTTATTACAGATACTTAAGGATATTTAAAGAAGAATAGGCTTAAGTGTATAAGAGAAATAGTAAAGTTCTTAACCTACAGCATCTATTAAGCATCTATTAAATATATATACTATACACTATATAGATTCTAGTAATTCAGATATAAAAATAAAAATTTCAGTAATTTTAGGGCTATCAATTTTAAGACTTGAATCTGACTCCACATGTATAACATTATTATAATTCATATATATACTTTTTATAATTAATAAACAGTTTTTATAATACCTAGTTAACAGCATAAATGCTTCTGAAGATATGACTAATTTGAACCTAGATTGTAATAAGATTAGTAAATTATAATTCAGTAATATTTATATTTTTGGATAACCTTACACCAAATATTATGAAACTTACACAAAAATATCATGAAAATGTATTTCGATTACATTGCTTTCTAAGAATATTTAGCATGAGTTTTTAAATAACGTAGATGATCATTTTATTAATGAAATTTTAGTTTCTTGGCCAGCTTGGTTAAATCTTGAAATAAGCAGATTCCCATGTAACACTAACGGGAAACCATTGTAGTAGTTATTTAGTAGACTGACTAATAGTTTATATGATTATGATGATAACCACTGTGAAATAGCAAAGTGGTTTACTCTCAAGATTCCCTCTCCTCCACCAAATCTATTCTCAAATCTCAGTTCTGTTTGCAATATACACTTTGCAACAGGAATGGGGCCTGAGAGAAACCTTGAGTATTTTGTCTTGAATTTTTTAATAAAAGGGTTTTAAGACTCTAGAGAAGTATTTTATTAATTTTTGTAAGCCAAAAAATGATGAATGAATGAAATAGGTGAATAATAAGGGTAGTTGCAGACACAGAAAACTTGACAAATGGAGAAAAAGCTCTTGAATAGAGATAATCAGTTAGGAATATTATGATGATAGAAATATGTCATCTCTGAGTGGGGTCACCAGTGAGACATCAAATGAAAGAGATTGGAAAAGAGCATGGAAATTAGAAATACTCCATATATAGACATGGTAGTGACTCAGTAACCAGTTAAATGTAGGTTACAAGCTTAGCTAACCACTATACTACTAAGAGAGATGCCCATGATTTTTTTTTACAGTGAAATAAGTAAAAATATTTGGAAGATAAATTAGATTTTAGTCATATACAGTGAAGCCCCCCCCCCCCCACTTTTTTTAAATCAGTTTAGTCATACCAAGGGCATTGTAGCAGGGTCTGAATGTAACACCTCATATATACTCTTAGAGCCATGGGATTTTGCAAAGCAGGCTGTATTTTCATGCTGAAAGATAGACATTATATTGTCCTAAAGCAAGAAGAGATAGTCTTTGGGTATCTCATCACATAACAAAGTAGGCTAAATTAACTGCTCTTTAGAGAACGGCAAAGGAATGAGGGGTGAAAAAAGTAAAAAGAAAATGCAGTCACCCTAGTGAAGCAAAATGCTAGTAATCTCTAGCATTACTTTAATAAATTGTCACTTTCTTAGCATTAAGTAGTAACCTATGGCACTTAGAAAGCCAGCGTGACTCACATGAGTTCACTCTAGAAAACTATTTATTCACCCTGGACTACATTAGGATCAGGACCTGAAAATTTATAGCTTTCACTCTAATGCAAAGTTCATCAATAAAATAATATTCTATTCCTTGGGGAAGAATAACTTTAAAAAGTTAAGAAGATGTTGGTGGAGCTATTCATTTACAAAGTTCAGTTTAATTATGTTAAAAAGATAGGTCATTGACTTAAAACTGTAATATTTTGGGATACATAATTTATATACTTGTTTATAAGTAGAAAACATATTTATAATATTTCAGTGGAAGCCAAAAATAAAGGCAGAAATATAGTAATTCCACTATGATTGATCATTATCTCCAAAACTTGCACAAAAATATGTGACACAATGTGAAAGAAATGTGAAAACATGGGGAATACATGTCACTGAGGAGTATTATGTATCCTTCATTCCAGAATGTATTACATTCTTAAAGTATAGGCAAATGAAACAAAAATCAATCCAACTGTTAATAAGTAACTGATGTGAAATAAAACACATTAAGCAGTAACAGTCTCTTGCTAACTGATAATATATTAGTCTCTGTGAAAAAGGGACATGTATTAACCATAATTTTTAATTACACACCAATAAATGTATAAAAGGTTATGTTAAAGAGTTAAATAAAGTTTTATTTTTAAAAATTTAATCCATCAAGGTGGATGGGAGTCAGGACTGGATTGCAGCTATAACTCAGACAGACAGAGCAGGATGTGGAGGCTCACATTGTTAATTTTGCCCCAGAATGACTGCAGGAATAGCAGGAATCCTGAGAGTACTCGCAGACCCTCTGAAGGAAGCAGATTGCTCCTGCAGGGCCCCCAAGATGCCCCAAATATTGTAAGTGCCCAGGCTGTGAAACAGGGAAAGGGAGATCCGTTGCCCTTGAATACACACCCCCACTGGGGAAACTGAAGGTCTAGTTTATAGGAGAATATTCTGATCTTACCTGGAGCAGTGTGAATTTAGAAAGCCAAGCAAAATACAGGGGTAGAGGAAGCAGTGTCCATTCCTGCTTGGACTCAGGGGAGGATGCAAATCCTGTGTGTAGACTCCACAGACAGTGGAAGCACTAAAGCCCTACTTTCTTTTGCAACTGGGAAGCGGGTTAGCCGGCGGTAAGTCCTCAGCCCTGCTTGCCCATTGCCTGGAAACAGACTAGATGCTATGATGGGGCCATGGTAGGAGTGAGACCAGCCCTTTGGATTGTGTGGGAGCTGGGAGAAGCCTGTGACTCCCGGCTCTCCCCCACTTCCTTGACAACCTGCAGAACTCAGCAGAGGCAGCCATTATCTTCCTAGGTACATAACTCCATTGACCTGGAAATCTTGCCCTCATCCCCCACAGCAGTGGCAGCAAGACCCACCCAAGAAAAGTCTGAGTTCAGACACGCCTGGCCCTGCCCCCACCCAATGGTACTTCCCTACCCATCCTGGTAACTGAAGACAAAGGGCATATACTTTTGGGAGTTCTAGGGCCCCACCTGCCATGGGTTCCTCTCCATACTAACACAGCTGATGCTCTCTGGAAAGCACCACCTCCTGGCAGAAGGCCAACCAGCACACAAAAAAGAGCATTAAACCACCAAAGTTAAGAACACTCACAGTGTCCATTTCACCTTCCTGCCACCTCCACCAGAACAGGTGCTGGTATTCATGGCTGAGAGACCCACAGACGGTTCACATCACAGGACTTTGTACAGACAACACCCAGTATTAGCCCAGAGCCTGGTAGACTTTTTGGGTGGCTAGACCCAGAAGAGAGGCAGCAATCACTATACCTTGGCTCTCAGGAAGCCACATCCATAGGAAAAGGGGGAGGACACTATGTGAAGGAAACACCCCATGTGAAAAAAGAATCTAACCACAGCCTTCAGCCCTAGACCTTCCCTCTGACATAACCTACCCAAATGAGAAGGAACCAGAAAACCAACTCTGGTAATATGACAGAACAGGGCTCTTTAACACCCCCAAAAATCCTACTAGCTTACCAGCAATGGATGCAAACCAAGAAGAAATCCCTGATTTGCCTGAAAAGGAATTCAGGAGGTTAGTTATTAATCTAATCATGGAGGCCCCAAATAAAGGTAAGCCCAATGCAAGGAAATAAATAACAATAAAAAAAGATGCAAGAAGTGAAGGGAGAAATAGTCAATGAAATAGATTGCATAAACAAAAACAATAAAAACTTCAGGAAACATTGGACACAGATAGAAATGCAAAATTTTCTGGAAAGTCTTAGCAATAAAATTCAACAAGTAGAAGAAAGAAATTCAGACAAGTTCTTCAAATTAACCCAATCCAACAAAGACAGAAGAAAGAATAAGAAAATATGAACAAAGCCTCAGAGTAGTCTGGGATTATATTAAATGACCAAACCTAAGAATAATCAGTGTTCTTCAAGAAGAAGAGAAATCTAAAAGTTTGGAAAACATATCTGGGGGAAAAAATTGAGGAAATATTCCCTGGCCTTGCTAGAGACCTAGACACATTGCTATGTGTTATGCCAATGCATAGGTCATCTAAAGTTACGACAAAGGAAAGAATCTTAAGTGCTGTGAGACAAAAGCTCCAGGTATCCTACAAAGGAAAACCTATCAGATTGACAGCAGATTTCTCAGCAGAAACCATACAAGCTCGAAGGAATTGGGGCTGTATCTTCAGCTTCCTCAAACAAAACAACTATCAGCCAAGAATTTTGTATCCAGTGAAACTAAGCATCATATATGAAAGAAAGATACAGTTTTTTTCAGAAAAACAAATGCTGAGAGAATTTGTCACTACCAAGCCACCACTACAAGAACTGCTAAAAGGAGCTCTAAATCTTGAAACAAATCCTTGAAACGCATCAAAACGGAACCTTTTTAAGCATAAATCTCACAGGACCTATAAAACAAAATAGAACTTAAAAACCAAAAACAAAACAAACAAACAAAAAAACCCCCAAAAAACCAAGATACACAGGCAACATTATGAATGGAATGGTACCTCACATCTCAACATTAACATTGAATGTAAATTGCCTAAATGCTCCACTTAAAAGATACAGAACTGCAGAATGGATAAGAATTCACCAACCAAGTATCTGTTGCCTTCAAGAGACTCACCTAACACATAAAGACTCACATAAACTTTAAGTAAAGTGGTGAAAAAAAGACATTTCATGCAAATGGACACCAAAAGGAAGCAGGAGTAGCTATTCTTATATCAGAAAAAGACAAACTTTAAAACAACAGCAGTTAAAAAGGGCAAAGAGGGACATTATATAATGATAAAAGGCCTTGTCCAACAGGAAAATATCACAATCTTAAACATATATGTACCTAACACTGGAGATCCCAAATTTATGAAACAATTACTACTAGACCTAAGAAATGAGACAGACAGTAACACAAGAATAGTGGGGGATTTCAATATCCCACAGACAGCACTAGACAGGTCATCAAGACAGAAAGCCAACAAGGAAACTGGATTTAAACTATACCTTGGAACAAATGGACTTAACAGATAAATGCAGAACATTCCATCCAACGGCTGCAATATACACATTCTATTCAATAGCACATGGAACTTTCTCCAAGATAGACCATATGATAGGCCACAAAATGAGCCTCAATAAATTTAAGAAAATTGAAGTTATATCAAGCACTCTCTCAGACCACAGTGGAATAAAACTGGAAATCAACTTCAAAAGGAACCTTTGAACCCATGCAAATACATGGAAATTAAATAACCTGCTCCTGAATCAGCCCTGGGTCAAAAACAAAAGGATGGAAATTGAAAAATTCTTCAAACTGAACAACGATAATGACAGAACCTATCAAAACCTCTGGGATACAGCAAAGGTGGTGCTAAGAGGAAATTTCATAGCCCTAAATGCCTACATCAAAAAGACTGAAAGAGCACAAACTGACAATCTAAGGTCATGCCTTAAGGAACTAGAGGAACAAGAACAAACCAAACCCAAACCCAGCAGAAGAAAGGAAATAACCAAGATCATAGCAGAACTAAATGAAATAAAAACAAACAAAAAAAATACAAAAAATAAAAAAATAAAAAAAAGAAATAAAAAGCTGGTTCTTCGAAGAAATAAATAAAATTGATTGACCATTAGCAAGATTAACCAAGAAAAGAAGAGAGAAAATCCAAATAACCTCGGTAAGAAATGAAATGGGAGATATTACAACTGACACCAGAGAAACACAAAAGTTCATTCAATGCTATTGTATTAGTCAGTGTTCTCTAGAGGGACAGAACTAACAGGGTATGTATATATATATATATATATATATATATACACACACACACACACATACATAGATATATACACATATATATACACACACACATATATATATATGCCCTGTTAGTTTTATATTTTATATATATATTTTATATATAATAAAATATAGGATATATATAATATAAGATATATATAATATAAGACATATACATATATCTCCTATATAAATATAAAGGGGAGTTTATTAAGTATTAACTCACATGATCACAACATCACACAATAAGCTTTCTGCAAGCTGAGGAGCAAGGAGAGCCAGTCCAAGTCCCAAAACTGAAGAACTTGGAGTCCAATGTTTGAGGGCAGGAAGCATCCAGCAAGGGAGAAAGATGTCGACTGGGAGACTAGGCCAGTCTCCCCTTTTCACGTTTTTCTGCCTGCTTTGTATTTGCTGACAGCTATTTAGACAGTGTCCACCAGATTAAGGGTGGATCTGCCTTCCCCAGCCTACTGATTCAAAGGTTAATCTCTTTTGGCAACACCCTCAAAGACACATCCAGGGTCAATACTTTGTATCCTTCAATCCAATCAAGTTGACACTCAGTGTTAACCATCACAAGTACACCCCTTGTCAAGTTGAACCCACACACATCTCCTGAGATCATGCATAATCTTCAAATAAAGACAATAATAAGGTCATAATTACACCTAACGTAATACAACTGTCCTCTGTACAACTGGAAACACACCAACCCCCAACCCAAACACTATCACATAAAGTTAACAATATTTAAGTGCTGATACGAAGTCAATAAATCTTATGTCATATGATAAAGGAAATAAAATAAAGATATTTTCTTCATACAAGTGTATACATGTACAAATATTTTTAGCAAAAGAAGGAGGAAATACTCATGACAATTACAGTCCCCATTGCTGCAGATGGTCACGTGGTCGTAGCTGGTATTGATGACTACTTTCTTCTACTACCTATTCTGTATTTCTTTGCCTTCAGCAAGGACCTCAGCAGGTCATGATATTTTCCTGGTGGAGTGACCCAAACCTTTACTCCTGAGAGGGGCTGTTGTAGTTTCCATTAACCTTAATCACAGGGAATGATAATACTAAGAGACGCCCAAATGGATCTCCTGTATCCCATGCATACTGTTCTTTACCTCTGTTGTGGAGTAGTGGACTGATTTCATCTTGATAGTCTGGGTCAATCACCCCAGCCAACACTGTAACTCCCTCCTTAGCTTGTTGGCTTAAAGGTAGGAGAAGCCTAAAGTGGCAGTCTTAACTTATAGTTCAATGGAATTGTTGCTATGTCTCCTGGTGTCAGTATTCCTCCCTCTGGAACTAAGGCCTCTAGGCCAGCAGAATGTAATATCACAGTAACAGGAAGCAAATATTTTGCTAGTGGATCACTAGGGGAGATGGTGTGTGTTGCCACTTATGCTTCTATTCCTTGATTCCCGGATCCATGAATCTTCGCTATGGGAGAAACAGTACAATATAGCGGATGCTGATTCAGAGCATACCCAGCCTTCTGGATAACTTTGCCTCAGCCCTGCAAAGTATTGTTACCTAGTTGGTGTTGTAATTGTGACTTCAAAAGGCCATTCCACCATTCTATCAATCCAGCTACTTCAGGATGATGGGAAACATGGTAAGACCAGTTAATTCCATGAGGATAAGCCCACTGCCACACTTTTTTGTTGTAAAGTGAGTGCCTTAGTTAGAGGCAATGCTGTGTGGAATACCATGAGGGTGGATAAGGCATTCCATGAGTCCATGGATGGTAGTCTTGGCAAAAGCATTGTGTGCACGATAGGCAAACCCATATGCAGAGTAAGTGTCTATTCCAGTGAAGACCAACCTCTGACCTTTCCATGATGGAGGAGGTTCAATATAATCAACCTGTCATCAGGTAGCTGGCTGATCTCCCCGAGGAATGGTGCCATATTGAGGGCTCAGTGTTGGTCTCTGCTGCTGGCAAACTGGGCACTCAGCAGTGGCTGTAGCCAGGTCAGCCTTGGTGAGTGGACGTCCATGTTGCTGAGCCCATGTGTAACCTCCATCCCTGCCAACATGGCCACTTTGTTCATGGACCCATTTGGCTATGTCAGGGGTGGCTGGGGAAAGCGGCTGAGTGGTATCCACAGATCAGGTCATTCTATCCACTTGATTATTAAAATCCTCCTCAGTTGAGCTCACCTATTGGTGAGCACTCTCATGGAGTACAAATGTCTTCAGTTTTTGACCACTCAGAGAGGTCCACCCACATAACTCTTCCCCAAATTTCTTTGTCACCAATTTTCCGATCATGCTTCTTCCAAGTCCCTGGCCATCCAGACAAACCATAGGCTACAGCCCAGGAATCAGTAGATAATCACACATCTGGCCATTACTCCTTCCATGCAAAGTGCACAACCACGTGCACTGTTTGAAGTTCTGCCCATTGGGAAGATTTCCCTTCACCGTTGTCCTTCAGGGATGTCCTTAAAAGGGGCTGTAGTGGTGCAGCTGTCCACTTTTGGGTGGTGCCTGAATATCGTGCAGAACCATCTGTGAACCAGGCTCGAGTCTTCTCTTCCTCTGTCAACTGATCATAGGGAACCTCCCATGAGGCCTTCAGTGCAGACTGGGGAAGAGAAGGCAGGGTGGCAGGAGTGGAGACCATGGGCATTTGAGCCACTTTCTCATGTAACTTACTTGTACCTTCAGGACCTGCTAGAGCCTGATCATATATATAACCACTTCTATTTGATGATAGAACGCTGCTGTGTATGACCCACTTTATGGCTAGATGGGTCAGAAAGCAACCAGTTAATGATAGGCAGTACAGGTCGCATGGTGACTTGGTGACATGTAGTCAAATGTTCAGTTTCCACCAAAGTCCAGTAACAGGCCAAGAGCTGCCTCTCAAAAGGACAGTAATTATATGCAGAAGATGGCAGGGCATTGCTCCAAAATCATAGAGGCCTCCACTGTGATTCACCTATGGTGGCCTGCAAAAGGCTCCAAACAACATCCCTGTCTGCCACTGACACCTCAAGCACCGTTGGATCTACTGGGTCATGTGGCTTAAGTGGCAGAGCAGCTTGCACAGAAGCCTGGATCTGTTGCAGAGCCTTCTCCTGTTCTGTATCCCACTCATAATTGGCAGACTTTCGGGTCACCCAATAAATGGGCCAGAGTAACACACTAAACGAGGAATGTGTTGCCTCCAAAACCTAAATAGCCCCACTAAGCATTGCGCCTCTTTCTTCATTGTAGGAGGTGCCAAATGCAGCAATTTATCCTTCACCTTAGAAGGGATATCTTGACAGGCCCCACACCACTGGAACCCTAGAAATTTTACTGAAGTAGAAGGTCCTTGAATTGTAGTTGGATTTATTCCCCATCCTCTGGCACGCAAATGTCTCACCAATAAGTCCACTGTGTTTGCTCTTTCTTGCTCACTGGATCTGATCAGCACAATGTCACCAATGTAATGGACCAGTGTGATATCTTGCAGAAGCGAAAAGCGATCAAAGTCTCTCTGAATAAGATTATGACACAAAACCAGAGAGTTGATATACCTCTGAGGTAGGACAGCAAAGGTATATTGCTGGCCTTGCCAGCTGAAGGCAAATTGCTTCTGGTGGGCCTTATGGATAGGAATGGAGAAAAAGGCATTTGCCAAGTCAATGGTTGCATATCAGTTACCAGGAAATGTTTTAATTTGCTCAAGCAATGAAACCACATCTGGTACAGCAGCTGCAATTGGAGTCACTGCTTGGTTAAGCTTATAATAATCCACTCTCATTCTCCAAGATCCACCTGTTTTCTGCACAGGCCAAATGGAAGAGTTGAATGGGGATGTGGTGGGAATCACCACCCTTGCATCTTTCAACTCCTTGATGGTGGCACTAATGTCTGCAATCCCTCCAGGGATGCAATATTTTCTTCGATTTACTATTTTTATAGGTAGAGGCAGCTCTAAAGGCTTCCATTTGGCCTTTCCCACCATAATACCCCTCAACCTACCAGTCAGGGAGGTAATGTGGGGGTTCTGCCAGCTACTAAGTATGTCTATGCCAATTATGCATTCTGGCACTGGGGAAATTACCACAGGCCGAGTCCAGGGACCCACTGGGCCCACTGTAAGTCAGACCAGAGCTAAAACTCCATTAATTACCTGACCCCCATAATCCCCTACTTTAACTGGAGGACCACAATGATGTCTTGTGTCCCTTGGAATCAACGTCAGCTCAGAGCCAGTGTCCAGTAGTCCCTGAAATGTCTGATCATTTTCCTTTCCCCAATGCATGGTTAACCTGATAAAAGGCTGGAGGCCTCCTTGGGGAAGGAGGGGAAAAATATTCACTCCATAAATTGTCGGAAATGTAGTGGGGGCCCTACATTAGGGGTACCGTTCTTCAAGGGGACCTCGCCTCTCCTTCACTCCAGGGGTTCTGGGTCTGTAAACTGGCTCAAGTCTGGAAATGAATTGAGGGGCCATGATTCTATTTTTATAATTCAAATTAGTATTTTGTCCATTTAACCTAGAAGTTTTCTGCTTGTATAAATTAAATAGGAATGCAGTAGGCTTCCTATCAATTTCACTTCTAGGGACACAGTGATTAATTAGCCAATGCCAGAGCTCTACGCGAGTCACACTATTCTGATTGCCACTTTGCGTCTGCTGTCCATTATGGTAGCTACACCCACCTTGCCTTTGACAGATGAATGCTGCCACTTGGCTCCTGCCACCTTGGGATCAAATTATTCCCATTGTATTTAAATTTTATAGTTGAATAACTGCAGTTCCCACCATTAGATCTGATACACAGAGAAGAGCAATTGCAGGGCTCTTTAAAGATGCAGGTGCTGCCGTCAAAAATCTATTTCACAAGGCTTTGGTCAAGGGTATATCTTCTGGACTCTCCCAGCTGGGATGAGTAGGTCTAAAGTGACTAATCCACTCCACGATCCCGATTTCCCTAGCCCTTTGGATCTCTTCCTCTACAACCAGGAAAGATCAGGCATTTCCAGCTTGCTCACGGTGGCCCATCTTTTAATCCATATTTTGGCTAACAATGCAAATAAAGCATTAGAGACTTTTACAATGCCCAGAGTTGAACATTAAAAGCAGAGTTCCTACTTAGTGAGCCCAGATCAATAAATTCAGCCTGATCCGACTCTGTGTTCCTTCCACCATTATCCCACACCCTTAATATCCATCCCCATGCCTGTCCTCCAGATTTCTGTTTACATAAATTAGAGAACTCAAACAGTTCTTTTCAAGTGTGGTGCATGTCCTCATGTGTCACAATCTCAACCTCACCTCTAGTGGCCTGCCGGGACTTTAGTTATAGATTTAGAAGCAGAGATGATGGGGGTGGCTCCTGAGGATGATCAACATTATCTTGCCTGGCAACTACCTCAGGGGAGGCCATCACTGTTGCCGTTGCCTCAGGCAGCACAGAGTTTATGTTCTCAGCCAAAGGTAGAAAGGCTGACAGCAGCATGGGTTGGGGAGTGGATGTCGCCACTACTGGGGATGGGGAAGCTCTTCATTCTGGCCAAAAAATATTCACCAGAGTTTACAAACCCAGCATCCCCAGGTTTATTGGGGTCCTCCCACATGTCCCCATTCCAAGTTTCAGGGTCCCCTTCTTTTCCAGTCAATGCCCTCAATTTAACAGTAGATACCTGGCGAGGTCGTGCATGCATCTTTCACTGCAGGTCAGCCACTCACATGATAAGAGCTTATGTCTGTTTTTCCGCAATTTCAGCTGTTTCTCTACAGGAGATAAGAATCTCACTCAGGGCAATCTTAGCAAATTTGAGGCTCAGTATCTGCTTCTGAAGCCAGGAGATAGAATCTCTCAGTTCATAATTTTCTTTCATCACTTTGTGCACTGAACTTAGGAGTAACCAACCAGCTTCATTATGTTCCTTGGATCTCCACATATAGTCAAAGGTATTATGTATAGAGTCACTAAACTTCTTGCCTCTTCTGAGCAGTAAATCAGGCGTTTCAAATGCATTTATTTTGCATAACTCTCTAAAGAGTTTCTGCAAAGGACTATCAGTGTTCTCCATACTATTAGAAGTAGAGTCCTTAGCATTTCTGGGTCTAATCATATTAGGCATCTAACTGCAGAAACCCAAAAAAAAACTGCCCAACAAAATAAAAGAGGACACAAACAAATGGAAGAACATTCCATGGTCACGGATAGGAAGAATCAATGTCATGAAAATGGTCATACTGCCCAAGGTAATTTATAGATTCAATGCCATCCCCATCAAGCTACCAATGACTTTCTTCACAGAATTGGAAAAAACTACTTTAAAGTTCATATGGAACCAAAAAAGAGCCCACATTGCCAAGAGAATCCTAAGCCAAAAGAACAAAGCTGGAGGCATCATACTACCTGACTTCAAACTATACTACAAGGCTACAGTAACCAAAACAGCATGGTACTGGTACCAAAACAGAGATATAGACCAATGGAACAGAACAGAGCCCTCAGAAATCATACCACACATCTACAACCATCTGATATTTGACAAACCTGAGAAAAACAAGCAATGGGGAAAGGATTCCCTATTTAATAAATGGTGCTGGGAAAACTGTCTAGCCATATGTAGAAAGCTGAAACTGGATCCCTTCCTTGCACCTTACACAAAAATTAATTCAAGATGGAATAAAGACTTACATGTTAGACCTAAAACCATAAAAACCCTAGAAGAAACCCTAGGCAATACCATTCAGGACATAGGGATGAGCAGGGACTTCATGTCTAAAACACCAAAAGCAATGGCAACAAAAGACAAAATAGACAAATGGGATCTAATTAAACTAAAGAGCTTCTGCACAGCAAAAGAAACTACCATCAGAGTGAACAGGCAACCTACAGAATGGGAGAAAATTTTTGCAATCTCCTCATCTGTCAAAGGGCTAATATCCATAATCTACAAAAAACTTAAACAAATTTACAAGAAAAAAATCAAACAACCCCATCAAAAAGTGGGCAAAGTGTATGAACAGACACTTCAAAAGAAGACATTTATGCAGCCAACAGACACATGAAATAATGCTCATCATCACTGGCCATCAGAGAAATGCAAATCAAAACCACACCAGTGGTTTTGATACCACTCACACCAGTTAGAATGGTGATCATTAAAAAGTCAGGAAATAACAGGTGTTGGAGAGGATGTGGAGAAATAGGAATGCTTTTACACTGTCGGTGGGAGTGTAAACTAGTTCAACCACTGTGGAAGACATTGTGGCGATTCCTCAAGGATGTAGAACTAGAAATACCACATGACCCAGTGATCCCATTACTGGGTATACACCCAAAGGATTATAAATCATGCTACCATAAAGACACATGCACACGTATGTTTGTTGCAGCACTATTCACAATAGCAAAGACTTGGAACCAACCCAAATGTCCATCAATGATAGACTGGATTAAGAAAATGTGGCACATATACACCATGGAATACTATGCAACCATAAAAAAGGATGAGTTCCTGTCCTTTGTAGGGACATGGATGAAGCTGGAAACCGTCATTCTCAGCAAACTATTGCAAGAACAGAAAACCAAACACCACATGTTCTCACTCATAGGTGAGAATTGAACAATGAGAACACTTGGACACAAGGCAGGGAATATCACACACCAGGGCCTGTCATGGGGTCTGGGGATGGGGGAGGGATAGCATTAGGAGAAATACCTAATGTAAATGATGAGTTAATGGGTGCAGCAAACCAACATGGCACATGTATACATATGTGACAAACCTGCACGTTGTGCACATGTATCCTAGGACTTAATGTACAAGAAATGAAATAATGCTATAGCAGTGAATAGAAGATTGTTAATGGGAGCATGGACCAGGGTGGTATTTGTGAAAGAAATAAGAAATTATCCAATCAGAAATATATCCTGAAAGTAGCACAAACAAAGGCTTCTCAAAGAGTAGATATGAAGTATAAGACAAATGAGAAGTCAAGTACAAATGTTTGGTGTTTGGCCATAGTTACTGCATAATTGAAGTTGCAATCAACTGAAATGTGGAAGAATCCAGGTACAGGAAGTTTAAAAGTGATCAAGAACTCAATTTGAGGCATGCTAAATGTGATATTTTTTGTTGAAGGTCTCAGCAGATATATAGAGAAGTCATTTGTATATGCAGCCTGAAGTTCACAAGAGGCATTTTATTGGCCTTATGAACTTAGAGAACATTGACACAAAGTTGGCATTTGGAGCAACGAAATTGGATGAACTGAACACTAAAATAAGAATAGGTGAGAAGAGAAGAATTTAGTTTAGAAGCCTGTAATACCTCAAAGTTAAAAAGCCAGGGAGACCACAAAAATATTGAGAAAGTGCAACCAGGAAATAGATGGAAAACAAAAGCATATTAGTGTCCTGGAACGAAGTAAAAATATAGCACATGAGGCTGGGCACAGTGGCTCACACCTGTAATCCCAACACTTTGGGAGGCCAAGGAGGGTGGATCACCTGAGGTCAAGAATTTGAGACCAGCCTGACCAACATGATGAAACCTCGTCTCTACTAAAAATACAAAAAAAAAAAAAAAAAAAAAAAATTAGCTGGGTGTGGTGGCAGATGCCTGTAATCCCAGCTACTTGGGAGGCTGAGACAGGAGAAATCGCTTGAACCCAGGAGGTGGAGCTTGCAGTTAGCCAAGATCGTGCCACTGTACTCTGCACTCCAGCCTGGGCAACAGAGCGAGACTCTGTCTCAAAAAAAAAAAAAAAATACAGTACATATATGCAAGGAGATTTATATAGCAATAATCATTGTTGATTATTTGAGAGACAAAAAGGAATGTAAAGATCTGGCTGGAGGGTAAATACTTAAGGAAATATGAATGATTATTAAAATAATAGTATAAATGTGTTAGCTCTGAAGAACTACCCATAATTTGTTGGTAATTGAGAAAATCACATTGTGTCAAAATACGATATAATGTACAACGTAAGGTTGTATTTTGCTAAAAATTATAAATAATAAAACTCCATATATGTGGTATTCATATTTATTAATATAAACACATATAAAGTTAGGGAAGAATATAACCAAGGCATGAGTCACTTGAGGGAAGGTAGAGAAGAAAACTATGCTTTAATGACTTAGTTCCCTTTATGCATCTTTCATAGTTTTAATTGATTAAGTAGGATTCTATTTCTTCATATATATATATATATATATATATACACACACACATACACATATATGTATATATATCTTTATAACCATATATGTGTGTGTGTATATAGTTATTATCTTTTAAAAGGTTATGGGTTTTATTTGAGCCAGTTATGTGAAAAAGTCAGAATGTTTTACCACTCTTTGTCAGTATATTAAGAGTCAACAGAAAAACAAGGTAAAATCTCATTTCCATGCAGTCTCGAAGCTTTGCTTGATTCTCATTCTGCATTGCATAAGAATTTGACTTTCCTTGTGCTCATTCTTGCTAAATTCTGTCCTTAATTTGGCTATAATTACTAGGCCATTTCATCAAGTTTTCTAGGTATTTCCAGTTAATATTTTTTCAAATGACTGCTTACAGAAGTCTTTCTTAAATTTTTTTTGGATTTGTATCCCTGACCATCTCTCATGTCTCCCACATAAGCCCTGTCATTTCTATACCTTTATTCAGCCATAGTTCTGGCCTTTATCAATATGTTCTCATGTGTATTCTCAGCTAAAATCCAATTCAATGTAACTGAATGGAAGAAAGAATTAACTGCATCCCCGCTATGTATCAAGTGATGTGCTAAGGTGAATCAAACAGGGGCCATTGTCCTCAAGAAGTTTTTAGCTCAGTGAGCAAGTAAGAGTGAGATCCACAGAATAGTTGATATTCCAATAAAGGCATTAAGGGAAACTCACTTTCCCTTGAGGGAAAATTTTCCCAGAAAAAAAGACAATCTCAATCTATAGTCCTGTTTCTTTTTTTATTTTTTTTTTAATAAAAAAGCTAAAAGTTATTCAAAAATTATTTGTTTGGGGATTTCTCATCACATTTTTTCTCTTAATTATCCACCTTGTGAATTAAACCATATTATTTGACAGAAACTGATCTAACGTCACAGAACATCTTCTGGTTATTGAATAACATAATTTTATAAAGAGGGAGAAATTTAAAAACACAATGAAGCTAATTCAATACACTAAAGAACCAAAATGCAAAACTCTGACCTATTGAGTCCTCGCTCTGGGAATTCAACGAATGGGGAGAAGCTGTGGGTTGAGGCAAACTAAGGAAGACAGTTAAAGAGTGTCTTTTTAAAGTTTTCCTGTGCTAGAGAATGGGGTTACTCAACCCAGGGTTGAGCCCATATAACTCTCCACATTGAAATAAAAATCCTGCAAAGTCTGCTGCTGTGCACAAATTCTTTTCACAGTTAAGTTCATTAAAAATGGAAATTTTATTCAAAAAACATTTTTTTTTTTCTTTTGAGACAGAGTCTCGCTCTGCCACCCAGGCTGGAGTGCAATGACATGAACTCGGCTCACTGCAACCTCGGCCTCCCAGGTTCAAGCAATTCTCCTGCCTCAGCCTCCCGAGTAGCTGGGATTACAGGTGCCCACCACCACACCCGGCTATTTTTGTATATTTAGTAGGGACAGGGTTTCACCATGTTGGTCAGACTGGTCTCAAACTCCTGACCTCAGGCGATCTGCCTGTCCCAGTCTCCCAAATTGCTGGGATCACAGGCGTCAGCCATCGTGCCCGACCCAGAACTTTTTCAATCGTAAAGTCCAAAGTATTCACTTACGAGTCTGAACTCATTCTGTATCTTCTCTTGTATGTATCAGAGTAAGAAGCTGGCACTTTCTTACTCTTCTCTCAGTAACCCAAGATTGAAATTTTATGGTTAATATCGATTTTTCTTTCATCATTTCTCCTCACTATAAGCTTTCAAAGTGTTTGTGATTCTTTCTTCTTAGAAGTCTCCCAAATCCACCCCTTCTCTCCATCACAGTTACCACTGGGTTCATTCATACATCATACTTTCTTACTTAGATTGTCGTACTTATCCTGTAAGTGGTCTCATTACCTCTGTTCCTGTTCATCTCTCCATCCAGTCCATTCACCCTGCTTGTCAATGTGTTATTTCTGAAATTGGAGTTTGATCCTTTTCTGCATAAAATATTTGAGAGCTTCCCCACAGTCTCAGAAGGAAGGCATCTTGATCTGATGCCTGTCTAGGTTTCTCACAGAATCATTTGGCTCATTCACTCTGAATTTCAGCAAACTAAACTGTATAATCTGGCTTTAAAAGTGCCAACCCATCCACATCTAATCCCCTTCAAACTAGATAGTTTCTATTTATCTGCCCGGATTTTAGTGGTTTTCCATCCTCTGTGAAGTTGCTTCTGAACTTCTCATTGTAATAAGCTGCCACTCCATTCTGATGCCAAAGAATGCCTTGTCATTCAATACTTCCCTATTATACTATCTTTTCTTTTAAAGGTTTCATCTTTCCAACTTCACTCTCATTGAGGGGAGGAGCCAAATTTCATTCATTTTCATAACTCCAGTAACCATGCACATCTGATTTTTAATAAATATTATTAAAAATAAAATATGATAATTGAAAATTTTATTATTAATTTCAATAAGGCATATCAAATAAGTAAACAAAAATTTAAAAAACACAAAAATGTGTAAAAATATTAAAATAATACCAGGAGAAAACTTGGCTCAGTGGAATTCTAAAGTCAGTCAAGAGATCAATATAAAAAATGTGTTTTTTTGTAAATCTCAATTTAAACAGACAACCTACTATTAAAAGCAAAAATAATAACATTATAAGCTGGGTTTTATAAGGTCACAAATAATACGTATGACAAACGTAGAAAAAATGGAAGGGATAGGTAATTGTAATTATATTGTCATAAAAGCAGAGTAGTTGCGAATAAGGAGGCTTGAAGGGTAAAGGAAAAATTAGTAGAAAACGTCATGAAGG
This sequence comes from Homo sapiens, assembly GCF_000001405.40. Taxonomy (NCBI): domain Eukaryota; kingdom Metazoa; phylum Chordata; class Mammalia; order Primates; family Hominidae; genus Homo; species Homo sapiens. The sequence continues at coordinate 19,767,413 of NC_000005.10, forward strand.
AAATAAGCAAAGGAAATAGCCTAGCAAATATAAAGTATCAGATGAGAAGTGGTACAATATTTACTCCAAATATACTTCAATATATTATTTTATTAATGGATATTATTAGCATTTGAATAAATAAAGTGATGCATAACTGAAAAAGTCATAGAGAAATTAAAACAGAATAATGAAAGTATTTGAATAAACCAAGATAAAGCAGAAAGAAACATTAGAAAACAAAAACAGAGGGGACACAATTAAAATAAAAACAATATTGTAGACATCTACCAAGTCTTATAAATCATCATATTATATATAATTGTATGGAGACTTCAGTAGAAATGGTGGAAAAACAACCTCCAAATTATTTCTTCCATTAAAGCAATGAAAATACTGCCAAAAATTGTAATAAGTAACTGTTTCCAAACTTGGGAAATTGACCAAAATCTTGCAGCATTCCAGGGATGTATAGAAGAAAAATGTATATGAGAAAGAAATGTATATAAGAAAGAAAAATGTATATAAGAAAAATGTCTGAATCTTCATATCTTCAACAATGAGCTTTGAGTTATGTTAATTTGCTCTATTCCCCTCCCTCCACCTCCACTGCAGCCTTGAAAACCAAGATCCACAAATCAAGGTCAAAATCAGCAGCCTGGTAGCCACTGGAGGGAACAGAATTGAGCTGGAGTTCCTTCAAGCTACATACCCCTAAAATTCTAATTATGTGAACTCTGATGGTTCCTCGGAAGACCCCACTCTCAAGTTTGTTGTTATTTGTTCTGACTCAGAATTTACCTAATGCAAATAGCTTTTACCACAGAGGTTTTTCAGAAACAATCAGAGGAAATTCTTGAATAGCAAAGCTGCCTGAAATGGTGAATAACAAAACAAACAATAGAATAACTAAAAAAGCTTAAAAGGAAAAGCTAGGGAATTAGAGATTTATAAGGAAATTTCAAAGCTCTGACATATTTCAGAAAATCTAGAAGTCACATGCATTTGTAGATTTTGCAAATATCTGGAGAAGTAATTAAAGTTTAAAAGACATACAAAGAACATAGATCTAACTTCTAGTTAAACTTGGGGTCTTTGCAAGCAGAAATGTATGACAAAGGTGGAGTTGTAAACTTTCCAGCTGAGTGTTGAAGGTATACCTCAACATATACAACGCTGCCCCATAGTAAATGTTAATATATATATTGGTTCCAGATATTTAAAAATCTCTGTCAAATCATTAACTCACTGATAATTAAGGCAAGCTGAGACTTCCACAAGCAAATACAACCAGAAATAAAGATTTTACAAAACTATTGCAGAAAACTTATTAACAACAACAATAACAACAAATGGCAGCAACAACAAACACCATAGAGAGGGGAGAACCTGATTTCCAGATTTGCCACATTATAATATTTATAATAGAAGTATAAAGACAATATCTCACAAAATAGAAAAAATCAATAACAAAATAAACATTATAAGACACAACTAACATATCTGAAAAAGAAAAGTATAATAATGGAAATTGAAAACTTACTAGAAGGGCACAACAACAGATTTAAAAGAAGGCAGAAGAAAGAAACAGCAACATTGACAAGAGGTCAATTGAGATTATTCAGTCTAATAAAGAGAAAGGAAAAAGAATGACAAAAAAATAAACAGCATATAAGATACCACCAAGCCTAAGAACATATGGATAATGGGAGTCACAGAAATAGAGAGAGAAAAGGAGACAGAAAGAACACTTGAAGATATAAAGCCGCAAAACTTTCTCTATTTGATAGAAACCATAAATCTACATTCCAGTAGCTCAATGAACCTCAAGTAGCATAAACTAAAAGGGATTCATATTGATATACATTGCTATCAAACTCCTAGAAGACAAAACAAAGCCAGAATCCTGAAAGTAGCAAGAGAAAAGAATCTTGTTACCTGCAAGACATTGAACAGCTGATTTCTAATAAAAAACCACAGAAGCTAGGAGGGAGTTGGATTATATATTCAACATGCTGAAAGAAAACTACTATCAACTAAAGTTCAATATCTAGCAAACTAGCTGTTAAAAATGATGGAGAAATTACAATGTTCCTAGATAAACAACTACTGAGAAATTTTTTGCTAGTAGATCTGCCCTCCAGAAATACTAAAGACAGTTCTATAGGCTGAAAAGTTGTATTCCAACACCTTATAAGCAAAAGTTAACTGGAAGTAAATCAAAAGCCTAAATGTAATAGATAAAACAATAAAACTCTTAAAATGAAACACAAATGTAAATCTTTACAACATTAGAATAAGCAATGTTTTGTAACTATGATGTCAAAAGCATGGACAAATAAAAATATAGATAAATTATATACATTAAAACTGTTGTGCTTCAAAATGTGCTACCAAAAAAGTGAAAGTACGACTCACAGAGTGGGAGACAGTATGTACAAATTATTATATCTGATAAGGATCTAGTATCTAGAATTTATAAGTAGCACAACTCAACAATAAGGCAAATAGCCTAATTAAAAAGGAATGCAGAATTTGAGTACACACTTCTCAAAAGAAGATATGTAAACAATAAATAAAGATAATCAACATCATTAGTCATTACAGAAATGTAAATGAAAACCACAATGGGTTGCCACTTCACAGTCATTAGGAGAGCTAAAGTTTTTAAAAGACATAAGTAGTGGCAAGGGTAAGGAAAAATTAAAACATTATATATTGCAGATAGATTGTAAAGTGGTGTAGCCATTTTGATAAGCATTTGTCAATTTCTCAAAATATTACACATATATTTTCCCTGAAATTCACTCATAAAGTATGTGAAATTCCAATTAATATAACAAGGGACTTTTTAAAGAAATTAACAAGCTGATTCTAAAAGATACATGAAAATGGAAATGACCTATAATTGTCAAACAGTTTGAAAAAAAAACATAATCAGCAGATTAACAGTACTTGATTTCAGGTCTCACAAGAAAATTACATTAGTATAAAATATAGACATTCAGATTAAAGGGACAGATTAGTCCAAAAATGTATCCCCACACATGTAACTATAACCTGAATTTTAACATAGTTTTCTAATGTAATTTAAAATTTAATTTAATGTGACAATATAATTTAACAGAAACAAAGAGATTATTCTATCCCCAGAATTCTAATGGCAGTATGCCAGCTAAGAAAACTATTCAGTTGCAAATCCATCCAAACTTTCCATGCCAAAAAAAAAGGAAAAAAAGAAAAGGAAGACCAAGACAGACTGCAGAAAAAAAAAGTCCACAGAGTGTAGTCATGAAAATTATTCCTAGGCCTTGAGCCCTAATCAAGGAACTTCTAATATTTCTCTGGCTGAATTTCAGAATTGCTATGTACTCTTTTGTGTCTGCCATTTTGCTGTTTTTGAAAAGGAATAGCTGTATTCATTTTTCTATGCTTGTATCAGCATTGCATTTTGTATTTTGGGGGGCAAATAACATTTCTTTGTAGCTTCACAGAACTACAGATGAAGAGAAACTATATACAAGGACATGGGCTTAAATATCTAGAATTTATAAACAGCACAACTCAACAAAAAGGCAATTAGTCCAGTTAAAAATGGACACATCAACACCTGGGCTTGAAATAGATCATGAGATTCTGGACTTTGAGATAACACTATAATGGGATGATACTTTTGGGGTACTTGGGTGAAGAGAAGTGTATTTTGTGAGAGAAACATGAATCACTGAGGTGTCAGAGGGCAGTCTCTGGTAGGCAGCTATTGGAATTACCTCTAATGTGTACTGTCTCCTGTCATTTACACCCTTGTGTAATGTCGTCTTTTTGAGTTTGGGTGGGACATAGCGACTCCTTGTAATAAGATAAAAGTGATGGATGTCACTTGGAAATATAGGTTATAAAATGATATTGGCTTCTGTCATGCTTACTCCCTCTTATCATCTATCACTCTTTGTTGCTCTCTATCTTGGAGCCCTCACTCAGGGCAGAAAGCTGCCATGCATGAGAAGCCCTAAGGAGAGGCTCACGTGGCAAGAAAACTGATGACTCCAGTCCACAGCCAACATGAACCTGAGGCCTGCCCAGAGACACACAGGTATCTTGGAAGGAGATTTTCCACAAAATTTTGTCTTGAAATGATTGCAACCCCAGCTAACACCTTGATCACAGCCATGAGAGTTCCTGAAACAGAGGCACTCAGCTAAGCCATGACTGAATTCCTGACTCACAGAAACTGTGAGATAAGGAATGTTTGTTGTTTTAAGCCACTGAGTATTGGGGAAATAATAAATTCACTAGTGAGGCGTTTGGATGTATCTCAAAATAGTATGCTGAATTAAGTAAGCTGAACTCAAAAAAACACATCGACTTTGGCTCCATTTGTATACATTTATAGGCCAAACGAAACTAAGCTGTAGTTAGAGAAATCAAATAGGCAGTTGTCAGGGGCAGGAGTGTACCAATTAACTGCAATATATTCTTTACTTCATTTGGGACAGTTTATAAAGTTTTCAAATGTCTCCACATTATATACTTATTAATGCAAAATGTACCTCTATAAAATCAAGATGAAGAAATTTACATTCAAAAAAGGATTGTGGTATTTTTATAGCTTACTAATGAATGTGCAAATTATTTTCCATTCTATATGTTTTTGGGAACCACTGACAGAATTTTTCTCTAAGATGATCGAACACTTTTTACTCTCCTGTCGTTAAAAAATAATTACTTAATATCCCAAACAAACTTCAGGGCCTGATTGTCACTCTTTTTCCTACCCACAGCCCAAAATACTTGTTTTGCATTTACAATATTACCACCTCCTCAAAAATATCCATGTCTTAATCTACAGAACTTGTCAATATGTTATTTTGCATGGAGAATAGGCTTTGCTGATGTGAGTAATTTAAGGAGAGTTAATCTGGATTATCCAGATATGCCCAATAAAATCCCAAGAGTTGTTATAAGAGAAAAGGGGAGGCAGGAGAGCCAGAAGAAACCTGTGAAGACATAAGCAAGTGTCAGTGAGAGAGAGAGAAAGAGTTGAAGATGTTATAATACTTGCTTTAAAGCTGGAAAATGGGTTACAAGAGAAGGAATTCAGGCTTCTAAAAGCTGAAAAAAAACAGAATCTCCTTTAGAGTCTCCAAAAGAAAAGCAGCCCTGTCCACACCTTGATTCCAGAAATTGTGACTTCCAGAACTGTCAGATGATACCATTATGTTGTTTTAATTTTGTCAGATATCCTGCTAAAACATTAATAGTTTTAGTACCACTTTGAAGTATTATTATACTCATATTTTTAAATTAAGAAACTGAATCTTATTGTTGTCAATAAATTTGCCCAAGATCACAAAGCTGCTAAGTAATAGAATGTAGATTTGAACCACAGTAATGTCAGAGCCTGGGCTCTTATAATTTAGCCAAACAACATTATTATGTATGCACAGGCATAATGACTGATAAGTCTAAGTGTACAAAACTGTAAATACATTTTTGCATCTTCTGCATTGGTTATATACTAAATGACCAAAATTAAGATTAAACATTATGTATATGTCCCTTCTTAAGTAAACATCAATAATTAAGAGCTGGTGAATTATTGTGTGATATTTATAAGGGTCTTATATTTATCTTCTGATATTCATATTCATAATGTTTCTGATATAATTTTATATAGATATTACCTACATACATAATCATAGGATAAATAAAGGGATTCTTATCTCTGTTTCATATTTTAGCAGCTATATAGTGAACAGTTACTAAGAACCAACTAACTGCAAATACTATTTAGGACTATACCATATAAAAATACGTGGAAATCCAAAGACAAATGGAATATCATTCAGAACAAGATCACATCAGAAGTCTGAAAAGGTAAGTAGAGCTCAGTCCCTTGAATGGCATGCTTTGTAGTTTAAAGTTTTTATTTAAAAAAGATATATCCATGCAATTATTTTAATCTAAAAATAGAGATGAAAAGAGAGGGATATAGCAGAAGCAAAATTGAACTTTAGAAAGGTAAAACAAATTGTAATTTGACTTACAAGGGGCAAGCATGGAGAAAACCTCACAGTTCAGAGGAGACTAAAGAAAAGTGAATCCTATTCAGGAGCACATTAAAGAGAAAATAAATAGGCATTTTATTTAAGAAATTAGAAACATTGATTTTAGGACATAAGGAAGTAGTTGAGTCAAGGAAGTATCAAGAATGGCAATTTGTTTACTATCTGAGAGACTGAGGAGGTGGTATCTTTTATAGGCTAAAGGTAATATAGAAGACACTAAAATGTAAGTGAGAGTTTAAAAATAGAAGATGATATAAACATAATGATAGTTGGGGAAAACTGAGTTTTGAGCTACCTGTAAATTCAGTGGATGTGTGCAGTTGACACATAAATGAGACATCAGAAAATAAAAGACATGAACTATAAAACCTAAAAGGATTCACATATTGCAGTTAAAGTTAAAAGAAAAACAGGTGGGAACACCAAGAACACATTTAAAAACTTGGAATCATAAACATTTATGAAAAGAGAAGATAAACACATACACCTATGAAAAGGAAAGAATGGGAAAAACAAAGAAGCACCTTCTGGAGAATTCTGAGGGACTCTACTATTTCTCTATATAGCTAGATCCAGGGTATTAATCACTTTTGGACATATTACTGGTCTTTGAGATTTACTCCAAAATAACATGGGTTTGGTGCACTGAAGAGGTGATGAAAAAGCTAGCATAGATAAACACCTACATTTTAGAGCTCAGAAGCTAGGGCTCACAAATTTTGGAGCCTGGGCAGAAATACCTGGGTGGCAGGGTGACAACTATTATGGACTGAATATTTGTGCCCCCTTAAAATTTATATTAAGGGGGGCTGGGCATAGTGGCTCATGCCTATAGTCCCAACTGTTCAGAAGGCAGAGGCAGGAGGATAACTTGAGCCCTAGTGGTGGAGGCTGAAGTGAGCATAACCGTGCCACAGCACTCCAGCCTGGGCAAAAAACTGAAACCTTGTCAAAAATAAAATAAAATTAAAATAAAATAAAATAAAATAAATAAATAAATCATAGTAAGGGGAAATACTGATATTAGGTAGAAATGGAGCCCTCATGAATGGGATAAGCACGCTTATGAAAGGGACCTCAGTCTGGGCGCAGTGGCTCACGCCTGTAATCCCAGCACTTTGGGAGGCTGAGGCGGGCGGATCACCTCAGGTCAGGAATTCGAGACCAGCCTCACCAATATGGTGAAACCCCATCTCCACTAAAAATACAAAAATTAGCCGTGTGGGGTGGTATGCACCTATAGTCCCAGCTACTAGGGAGGCTGAGACAGGAGAATTGAAGTGGAGTTGCAGGAAGCAAAGATCACACCATTGCACTACAGCCTGAGTGACAGAGCAAGACTCTGTCTCAAAAAAAAAAAAAAAAAAAAAAAAAAAAAAAAAAAAAAAAAGGCCAAGACTGCCATGGGAGAGTATACAAGTGTAAGTTGGCAGTCTACAATTCAGAAAAGGACCTACAACAGAACCCAACGGACCACGCAATACCCTGATGTTGGACTTTCAACCTCCAGAACCATGAGAAATAATTATTTCTGTTAATAAACCACCCAGTCTATGGTACTTTGTTATAAGAGCCCAAATTGACCAAGACAGGAACCCTTCAGAGCCAAAGCTGAAGAAGCTGGAAGTCCCAGCAGGGGCAGCAGTGAATGGGAAAAGCAAATAGCCAGTGGGGGCAATGCACCATACTGGAAAAGCAGGTGGTTTTCCATGACAAGCCATGGTGAAGATGAGGATGCTTGGAATATTTACGCTACTAGCTCGCTACCAACATTGGAGAAAGAGTTGATTGAAAGTAGTCCAGAGACAGGAACATGTCCTTTACCAGCTGTCTTAGGCCATTCTTGCATTGCTATAAAGAAATACCTGAGACGGGGTAATTTATAGGAAAAGATATTTAATCGCTCCTGGTTCCACAGGCTGTACAGGAAGCATAGAGGAATCTGCTTCTGTGGATGCGGAATCTGTTACTGTGGATGCGGAATCTGCTTCTGTGGATGCATCAAGAGGTTTACAGTTGTTGCGGAAGGTGAGGCAGGAGCAGACACCTCACAGAGTAAAAGCAGGAGCGAGAGAAAGACAGTGGGGGGGAGATGCCACACACTTTTAAATGACCAGATTTCAGGAGAACTCACTATCAGTAAAACAGCACTAAGCCATGAGGGATCTGCCCTGTGATCCAAACACCACCTACCAGGCACCACTTCCATCATTGAGGATTACAATTCAACATGAGATTTAGACGGAGACAAATATCCAAGCTATATCAGTAGCTGAGGCAGATGTACATCAGCAATATAAGACAAATAAGGCCTACAGGAATACTACACATGAAAATTAAGGCTGTCTTTGCAATAAAACAGATTAGAAACACATGAAAACAAAGGCCATGGTAAGGGAGAATGAAGTTGAGAACTCATAAGCTAGAGTTCATAAATTTTGGAGCATGGGCAGGAATATCTGGATGGGAGGATGGCAATTATTATGATAAGGGGAAACGAAGTGAGAAACCACTGATTTTGATCAACAAAAATGCAGATGTACAATAAAACTAAAGAAAATTATACTGTACACAAAATTATCAGAGAAATAATGGATGCAATTAACAAGATGCTCAAACAATAGGAAACCATCAAGAATGAGGAGAAATTTGAAAAAAATACTATCTTGGAATAATAAATATTAAGGGGATCAAAATTTTAGTGAATGGATTAAACAGCAGATTTGACACAATAAAGAAAATTAGAGTAAACTTAAACATTATGGTCATAATTGTTAGGATCTAAGGAGGACAAATGCACGTTTTCTTTTCCACCTACTCAAAAGGTTTCTTATTTTGGGCAGTCACTACAACATTATATTTCAGATTTTAAGAGATACATTCTTTATGCAAGGAGGACAATTGGCAAGAGTGGGAATACAGGAAGAGATTCAAAGCATTGATAACGGTCTGTTTAATTCTTTATGCAAATTATGTATTTACAGGCACTCAGTATTGAAGAAAGAGGAGGAAGAGGATGGAAAGAAAGAGGGATGAATGTAGGGAGGAAGTAAAAGAGGAGAAAATAAATTCATACAGGGAGCAATGATAGTACTATGATCAAATTAAAATGGGAGGAAAAAAGGCGTAATGACAGTGTCATACATTGACAGTGGGTTGTTTTAGAAAATGAGTAGATATAAAACCATTGGATTATATTAACAAAAGTAAGCCCATAGACTTCTCTTATTCAAATGACTGTTATACACATTTTTTTAGTTGAGTGGCACCATAGTGAAATAAGACTATATAAGTGGGAGCTTTGGAGTGTGGTATCTTTGTAACACTGAACAATGTAAATGTTCCATAAGTTTTGGTTTTCTCATTTGAAAAGTAGAAATAATAAGAACTAATAGTGAAAGTAGTAATAGGGATAAAATGAAATGCCAGTAAATCACTCATCATTATGTCCAGTAACAAAAACAAGTATTTTACAATGAAATATTACACAACATAATGCTTGAGTCTCGTATGTTTTTATACAAGTGTTGAGAAAGAAAATGCAAATATATGGCTCACACCTGTAATCTCAGCACTTTGGGAAGCCGAGGTGGATGGATCAGTTGAGGTCAGGAGTTCAAGACCAGCATGTCCAACATGGTAAAACCCTGTCTCTACTAAAAATACAAAAATTAGCCAGGCGTGATGGCACATGCCTGTAATCCCAGCTATGCAGGAGCCTGAGGCACAAGAATTGCTTGAACCTGGGAGGCAGAGGTTGCAGTGAGCCGAGATCGCATCATTCCACTCCAGCCTGGGCAACAAGAGTGAAACTCTGTCTCAAAAATAAAAGAAAAAAGAAAATGCAAATACAAAGCAAAGACAAGTTTATATGTATTCCTGAATTTTGTTTGCCTCTCTCTCCTCAATGCATGTTAACAACGACACAAGATAACAGATGGAAGGCAATCCAGTTTGGGTAGGTTAGCAATTATACATAGAGCTCAGATGGATTGTTATGCCAGTAAAGCAAACTGTCTAAATAACCTGAGACAACCAACAGAAGAAAGATTCACACAGTTGGCCGGCCACACTGTGCTTGTGAAGAATCAGGCACTACGTTTGAAAAAGAATTAGGGCCTAAATTGTTGGCATTCTTGCAGATGAATTAGAACAAACTAGCCTTGAGATGAAAGTTCCGTTCATCCTTGATCAAAGAAGAAGTAGGTAAAGAATTGCCAAATAAATATCTTACAGCCTTAAGTTGTCATGGAGATTGATCTTAAGTTTCTCCGATATTTTCAAAGTAAGCTAGTTTTATACCTGAAATTTTTCAGAATGCCTGGGTGCTTTTATGAAGATTATTTGAGAAAATAATTAAAATTACTAAAATGAATAGAACTTTTGCCAGACAGATCAGGAGAAACAAAGAACATAAATTATGACTATTAGGAATGGGAGAGAAGAAAGATCATTAAATTTCTATAAGTAGTAAAAAGGCAATAAGAGAATAATATGAATAGCTTTATGCTAATAAATTCAACAAATCAGATGAATCAAATTCCTTGAAAATCCCAAATTATTAAATTTTAATCAAGAAGAAAAAGATAACCTGAATAGCCCTGTATTTATTACGAAATCAATTTATAGTTTAAACTTTCCCCCACAAAAATCTCAATAGACACAAAACACCTTTGCCAAACCCAACTCCATTTGTTACAAAAACTACAAAGTAGAAACAACACAGAACATAATTAACCTGAAAAAGGGCATCTATGAAAAAACTACATTGAACCTACATGATTAAATATGGGAGACTGAACTTCCCTCCCCGCAGCCAATATCTGAAACACAACAAAGATATCTGCTTTCACCTCTTGTATTTCATATTTTGATGGAAGTTTTAGCCAAGAAATTAAAACGAAAGATGAATTAACAGTGTCTTTATCAGACAAGAAGAAACAGAACTACCTGAATTCACAAATACTACTGCCTATGTAAAAATTGTATTCAATCTACAAAAATACTATATGAACTTATAAATGACCTTAGCCAGATGATGGAATACATAATCAAGATGAAAAATGATTTTATCTCTGTATCTCTGTATCCTAGTAACAAATAAACAAAATTAGAAAGATAGACCTACTACATAAATAATCTCTGGTTTTCCTCTTTACCAGCCTTAAAACAAGACTCAGGAAACTGTCACCATGTGATATGGACTCTTCTTATTGTGCAAAGTCAAACTAATGAACAATTTTGGATGGAGACCCAAAAAATACAGTGGACACCACAAAACCATAATAAAAAAAAATTTAAGGCTTTCCCTGTTCCTTCATGAATTGGATAGCCAATAGGAGCCCATCTCCTCATGCTGATATCTCATCCCTGGACAGGAGAATATGAGGAAATTTAGCCTAGCTCTGCAGCCCCTGTTTCCTTTTTCTACATGTATTATGCTCAGATACCTCCTCCTTGCACTAGATCTGATGCTGGCTTCGTTTACTGGCCAGGAAGGATATTCAAAACTCTCTTTCACAAATGATGTCTCTGCACACACACAAGATTTCATCCACCTGGCTAGGAATAAAATACAGTTTGCATTATATAAAATAAGTTTAATAATATATGTGAGAATACTTTAAAAATTTTTATATTAATACATGAGGTAGATACTATGCCATTTAATAGAGGGAAAACTGAGACTATGGAAAGATCAATAATCTGATCGAGGTAGGACAACAAGTTAATAGCAGACAGAGACTCACATTAAGGATTCTACAATGTGTACATCTATAATATTAATTTTATAGAATAATCACTGAATATAAGTTGAATAATGTCCCAGATTAACTATTGCAACACTGTAAATTGGTTTTATCTTTTATTTTTTCTAATGAAGAAACCTAATAGTGGAGACATTAAGAAAATTGAGTTAGTTTATTGTTTTAAGTGGAGAATAAATTATTGTAACAAATAGACAGTAAAATACAATCGAAGCTGAATTCTTTCTCTCATTAGAGAGCAGTGGTAAGCAATCTATTGTTACCAAGGCAGATCTGCTATCCTCAATTCATGGCTTCCATGTTTGGATGTAGGACTTTCTTTGCTGATTTTGCTCTGTTCCAGCCAAGAGGGAGAAAAAGAAACAGGGACAAAGTGGAAGGAATTCAGAATTCGCCACAGTTTTTTTCTTAATGTCCTGTACCAAAGTTGCACATCTTACTTACACCAACATCCCAGTGGGTAAAATTTGGTCATGGTTATACACAGCTACATAGAAGGCTGCATAGGGCTTCTTTACAGACAAGTGTGTAGAAGATGTTATTACTAAAATGTTCAACAGTTGGCGATGAGACTTTGGGTACGACTAGCAGTCTCTCATCAGGGTCAAATAGCCAATAACAAGTGGCTCATATTTGAACCCATGTTCATTTGGCCTCAAAATAAGACATAGACTAACAAGTTTAGTCCATTTTATATGAATAATATATGAATTAATACATGCTTCCATATAACAATGTGAATTTTAAAATTATATATCATGCTAAGAATTCAGGCATTCTTGGCAAGTATGTAGGAAGGGCCTGTTAATGTCTTTCCTTATGTAACCTTCTTAGCTTAATGTACCCTTCATTAGAACCTTCTTAGAATAGGGCAGTATCTGTTTATTCCATATAGTGAGCTCCATCCACAGAAGAGTGCATAACTTCAACTGAAGTCATTCATGTCTTTATACAGCACCTCCACCTTCACAAATACAGAAAGTATTCATCATTTAACTAAACACGGTTATGGATACAAACTTACCTGCTGTATTAGATCTTGAACCTAACTGTATAAATCTAATTGTCTATGTATTTCCTTGTCGATAAGAGACAGAAAAGAGTCCTTATTATGCCAGTATCTTTCCTGACACCATTTTTCCATTCTTTGTAAAATCAGCATCTCACTTACTTTCACATGTTAATTTTATGTTTTGATTTTATCAATACATTGTATCCTACTGTCACTTTCTTCTACATTATTGTTCACAAAATATTTAAATATATCTGTTTAGTCTAAATTAGGAACAAAAAAGGACAAGAAAAAAAATATTTTGGAAATCCTTTACACTGCTTCTAGACACTTTTGTTTCCCCCTTGGTTATCTAATCTCCCAGACAGCAGAACATCACAGCCTGGTTCATGTTGATTCTTTTTTCATTTCTGCTTCAAAACCTTCCCTGAGAGCAAAATGATTTTCCAATACCAGCTGCAAATTCACTAGAGACAAAATGTATTTATATTTTCCTCTAGTTTTATTATATTTTTTCCCTCCTTTAACTTTTGTATATGGCCACAATTTTCAGATTTTTAATAATGCCTCCTTACTTTCAAGTCAGATTTTCTATTGGCTTTGGACAAAGGTTTGGTAATGGAAACTGTTGTAACACTAAGAAAGGAGCCTATACTTCTTAGCAAAGAATAATGCCACAGGTGATCAAATAAGGCCTGCTGAAGTGGTTTCCTATAGAATAATATGAAATTAAATACAGCAAGTCAAATATTTAAAACGCCTGTAGAAGCAAAGAAAAACTCACAAATAAATGTGTTATTCCAATGAATCTAATATGCGTAAGGCCAGATTTATTTCCATAACCAATTTAAAACTACAATTAAAAGTTTGTTCACTAATATTTTTCACGATATTAATTATGGCTAAATATAGGCCCATAGTCCAAAAGTAAATCATGTATCATTCATTAGCATACATAAAGTGAATATTGTTATTGCAAAGAAAAAAACAGCAAATTATTTGCAATCATCAAAGATGAATGCAATTGTAAGAGTATTGACATTTTTAATTTTCTCAATTCCTGTATGAAATAAAATCACATAGAAAAAAAACACTCATTTAAAATTTACATGTAAGTACAAAAAAAAATGTACCACTAGCCCTACAAAAGATATTAGAAAATGGAAATATGTGTATGACCTACAAGTGTACTCCTTGAAAGATTAATTATAATCATAACAAAAGAGAAAACAACAAAGAGCAGGTGTAAGCAGTATTGAAATTTCCCAAAACCAGGCACTATGTAAGAGTTAAAATTATTGAGGAATAAGTTCTAACTAATCTTGTGGGGGTTTTTTTATTATATAAAACTATATTTTACTGAAACCACTTTAACATAAGATTTTATTACTGAGTAAAGAATGATTATTAAATGATTTGGTATTTTCATATTTTTTTCTCTCTCAACGTTAGAGTTTCTAGCATACAAATTAAACACTCACAATAGTCTGAGTCCAGAGAGAATTTCAGGTGGAAATGGAAAACACAATAATAATGGAGAAGGGAAGATTGGTGGCAGTCCCTTGTCTTGAATGAAAAGTGAGAGAAAACATTAAGTTTTTGACATCCATAATTTTTGGATAATTTCTGCTGTGTCAAAGGCATCCTTAATTAACATATATGGATATCATATTTCTATTATCCAGTAAATCAATTTCCCCTTTGGCTTTATAATCATTTATTTTCTGGAAAGAAAAATATATATTCTGGCCAAAAAATCTATTTTCAATTTAAGTGTTAGACTAACATGGGATATAATAGGGATATATGGATGCAAAAATAAAAAAAAGCAAACACACCTGTATTAATTTATTTTCACACTTTTATATAGTACTGCCAGAGACTGGGTGATTTATAAAGGAAAGACGTTTAATTTACTCATAGTTCCACATGTCTGGGGAGGCCTCAGGAGACTCACAATCATGGTGGAAGGCACCTCTTCACAGGGTGGCAGGAGAGAGAATGAGTGCAAGCAGGGGAAATGCCAGACACTTATGAAACCATCAGATCTCCTGAGACCCACTCATTATCATGAGGGGAGCATGGGAGAAAACAGCCCCATGATTCAACTACCTCCACCTGGTTCCGCCCTTGACACGTGGGGATTATGGAGATTACAATTCACAGTGAGATTTGCATGGGGACACAGAGCCAAACCATATCACACTTTTCCACAGAGAGGAGTAAGGCAAAAGGGATTTTCCTGTGTGGTGTAGTGTGGCTTGGTGGATTGTGATGTGGAGAAAAGCAAATTCAAATGTATGTAATGAAAAGACGTATACTTAAGGAAAAATTAGTCTACAATGGAGTCAGGGCAGCACGATGGTGATTAGGAGCCTAATTTTGGTGGCAGAATATCTGCATTTACATGAGCGCACTTAGACTTATTTATGCTGTGATTTGGAAGGAGTTGCTTAGACTCTGATTTGTCTCCTGCACTGTAAAATGAGAATGATAGCAATACTCCCTAATTCTTAGGTATGCTTGGCCAAATTCCACTGCTCATGATGTAAATGTTTCTTCTTGTTTTGATAAAAACTCTGCATGGAGAAGACATTCTAAATCTTTCTACAACTTAAGACATTACTCAGTATATCAGAAAAGCTAATGAGGACTAGATTTTTATTTTGTGTGGCCTACACAAAGCAATAATATATCAATATTTGTGGATATAAAGTATTTGATTTCACCAAATGTCTCTCTACCCTTGGGAGAAGTTTAATACTTTGTGTAGTCTGAGACTTTTAAATATGACATCTGTTTCACAGATGTAAAATGTATTTGAATGAAAGTTCTTTGCTGCTCTAAGCTGCATTAACTTTGTTTCTGCCTAATTAACATGAACAAATCCTGATAAAGCCTTTTTGCTGGTCCATGTGTCACAATTAGAAATTAATCTGCCGCACTATTATGTAACACGAGGCAAGATACAGCAGTGGAAAGAACATGAACTTGAGATTGTGATAGGCTTCTTTTCACATCCCAGTTCCACCAAATATTAATAAGGTACAATTAGATAAGAAGTCTCTTAACCTCTCTGAAATGGGTTCTGCAGAGAGCTGTGGATGTGGAAAGAATGGATCAAACAGAATAAAATAATGAAGGACATCAATTAATATTTATAAAACTCATATATTTCCATTTTAATATATTACATTTTTCTGCTTTCAAACATCAAAAGTGAGAAAAATGTGCCTGACAGGAGTTTAAATAACTGCATCTCATAGTCACCTGAGCATACTAGTGATTGCTGTTATATTCTAAACTTATTTCAACCAGGAATTCCTGGATGATAAAGCCAAACATTCCTTCTCCCAAGGAAACCTCTGTCACCACATGGGGACATATGTGGTTTGTAGTTTCTACCCTCTTCCCTCCCTACATTTTCTAAGGAACAATTTGTGTCTTTCGTTGGGGCTTGCTATGAGGTGGAGTCTCATCTCCATGTGTTATGATTATCCTGAAACATTAATACAATGTCTGACATTGAGTACTAACTATTAATTCTCATTTATATTCTATAAGACAAGAAAACATTTACTATAGGAACATGGGACTCATACAAACTCTTCATGACTAGTAGTGGCTACTACACACTTTAAATTATATTACCAACATTAAAATGCCCTGTATTATTTACTGAATGCCTACTCTGTACCTGATACATTCCTCTGCCCTTTATATACAAAAATCCCATAGGTAGATATTATTTTCTTCATTTTATAGATGAGTAAAAACATTTTATTTTAAAATTTTGTACAAAAAAGTAAATTCATTTCTTCATTCCATAATTCATTTAATACATTTTAGTTATATGCCATGTGCAAAAAACTGGACAACTTTTTGAGCAAAATTGTGCTTTTAGAAATGTATAGCCTATGTTTTTTAAATATTACAATACAGTTAAATGAATAAAAATATACACAAAAATAAGAAGAGGGAAAAATTCAAACAGTTTATGAGTATGTTCAAAACTTGTAGAACAGATGATAACTTGGAATCATCTAGAAAAGTTAGATTCTTATGTTCTAGAAAACAAGAAATCCTCTTACCATGATCTGGCAAAGTAGCTCTTTCTGCAACTTGAAATTTTTAGTTAACACTATCTTTCCGATATTGGGCATGTTGAGACATGAAAATTAGACTCTTAGATATGATCTTTGCTGTAACAAGACTATTATATAACATTCTATTACACAGGCATGCCACTTTTTTAAAATTCCATCTCCTTTTCTTTGTTTCAATTTTTTTGCTATAAAACAATGCTTGAAATTTTTTATGCATTCATTCTTGTGTACATGTGATTTTTTTCTTACAAGTACATTATAGAACATGAGAATCTATAACTTTATTAAATACTGCAAAATAGCTCTCGCAGGTAATTCCCAATTTATATTCCACATTTAAAACCTAGCAAAGTAATCTTACTTCATTTTTTAGAGCTTGCAAATATTCTTGGCCTTTCTTGGATCTAGGAGAGACTAACTAGGAGTCTGACACCTTTTAAAATCTAAAAAGACACATTTACCATCTATTCTCTATGAAGCCTGCTACCTGGAGGCTTCATCCACATAAGAAGAACCTTGGCTTCCACAACCCACCTTATCTTACCTCAAGCAATTTTTTTCTACTGACTTCAAGTCTTTACACAAATCTTAACTCATTCAACCAACTATCAATGAGAAAATCTTAGAATCCACCAATGACCTGTAAGCTTCTGTCCCCCAGTCCTGGAGCCTGGAGATGTCATGCCTTTCTTCTTCCTCTCTGTAATATATAAAACCAAACTGTAACCCAACCACCTCAGGCACACATTCTCAGGACTTCTTGAGACTATTCCTGGGTACATAGTCACTCATATTGGCTGAACGTAAACCTCTTTAAATATTTTATGGAGTTTGAGTTTTTAGTCTACAAAAGAATGGTATCTGTCATAGAATATGAGATAATAAATATTTGTTAAATGAATACATGTCTCTAGCTTTCAGGACTGATCCATCACATAATATTTTTCAGGTTGAGGGACATAAAGCTAATTACACAATTAGTACACTGCCCAGCACATAGTAGCCACTCAATATATGCATCTGTAGGCCAGGCGCGGTGGCTCATACCTGCAATCCCAGCACTTTGGGAGGCCGAGGCGGGCAGATCACCTGGGGTTGGGAGTTCGAGATCAGCCTAACCAACATGGAGAAACCCCGTCTCTACTAAAAATACAAAAAATTAGCCAGGCATGGTGGTGCATGCCTGTAATTCCAGCTACTCAGGAGGCTAAGGCAGGAGAATCGCTTGAACTCATGAGGCGGAGGTTGCAGTAAGCCGAGATCATGCCATTGCATTCCAGCCTCGGCAACAAGAGCAAAACTCTGTCTCAAAAAAAAAAAAAAAAAAAAAAAAAATATATATATATATATATATATATATATATATATATATATATATATGCATGCATCTGTAAAATGCAGAATAAAATAGGTAGATCATAGAGGTTTCATGAAGATTAAATAAGGTGACATATAAAATAAAATGTATATAATACATAAAAACACTTATCTTAGGCTGTAGTAGACACTGAATAAATGGTAGTTATTGTTAAAATCTTGAAAGACTAAAACTAATTTAATTTACATGTTCAGTAAATGTTTATTAAATTGAATGACTGATTAAAAAGAGACAAGGGAAGTGATGGTAAAAATAAAATTAGGCCAACTATTGAACTTTGAAGCAGCAGGAGGATTACAGTAACGAGACATATTTCTGAAATGGTACAAAAGGTGATTTACAAATTATTATTTCATTTTATTTCTGCAATTTAAAAACATTCCTACAATGAATGCATATATTACTTATGATATGAAAATGAATAGCATGAATAGAAATCTTTATATGGTAGCATGCCATCACTAACATAGTTCTCACATTTCTATTCAGCAATAATGAATAATTTTATATTTAAGTCCAGAAACTCAGCAATAATGCCTCTCAATTTCTGGTTTTGTATTTCAGTAAAGTCCAATAACTCAACAATAATGAATATTCAATTTTTTTATTTCTAAAAGCAGTGCACCCCAAACTTGCTATTTGATATGTTAGTTTACTTTGTATTTGGTTTTAGAGAAATAAAGTAATTGCTTCACCTCCATTTTTAGGCTAAACTACTGAAGTGAAAATATTATTTTCTAATTTATTAATGAGCTTTAAGGCTGCTATCCCAATATGGATAAATCAGCTCTACAAGATATTGATCTATATCTTCAATCAGCTTCCTTGAATATACAGAGTACTATACCTAAAAGATAAAAATAATATCATAGAATAGGCTTTCACTTGTTCTAAAGCATCATCCTTCAATGTTCCTGATAATATATATTTGAACTCTAATTCTTCCATGTCCTCACCACACTCTTCATTGACCTGACACTTAACCACACATTTTACATTGGACACAGTATTAATGTGCACCTAGAGAAAATCCTAGAATCTTAGTAGGTTACCACCAGAAAGCCATTCTTTAGTTCTTCTAATTTACACAAAGTCCAGTGTCTGTGTGCTAGGCATGGCTGGGGGGGTGTTGGGGTAGGGGCTCTGGGGTTGTACAGTAATGGATTCTGTTCCAACTGCCTCCACGTTGGCAGTATTGCTAACCTCTAGGATGTCCAGACCCTTCGCTGAAAACTAAACTTCACAAGCCAAAGAAAGAAATGAGAGAGGACAAGATCCCCTACAGACGGGATATTTGAGAGAAACTGATACAACTAGAAGTAGGACTGGGAAATGCCCGCTGAGAAGGTACCTCTATAGAAAGGAAGAAGAATCTTTGTGGAGAGCTAGCTGTCTCTTCACAACTATGCCACAACTCTGAGATATCTTTGCCTTGGCCTGAACTCAGAGTCATTTTATTTTTGTACATATCAAATTAGGACAGTGCCTGGCAGAGCCAAGGCAGGTGGATCACAATGTCAAGAGTTTGAGACCAGCGTGGTCAACAAAGTGAAACCCTGTCTCTACTAAAAATACAAAATTAGCCGGGCGTGGTGGTGCGCACCTGTAGTCCCAGCTACTAGGGAGGCTGAGGCAGGAGAATCGCTTGAACCTGGGAGGCAGAGGTTGCAGTGAACCTAGACCACACCATTGCAATCCAGCCTGGGCAACAGAGCGAGACTGTTTCAAAAAAAAAAAAATTGTTTAATGTATGAGCAAGTCTTTTAATCTTTTAATATAAAACAGCATTATTTTTATAGTTATCTGAAACTATATGCATGTGTTTCCATAGGAAGGTACATGTGCATATAAGAAGACTAAGCTATTGTGACCCAAGCTTGGATCTAAGACCACATAACAAACAGAAAAGATAAAAGTTAATCATGAGACATAAATAAACAACTAAACAAAGTAAACAAATCAAGCAAGAAGAGAGAGAAACCAAGTACAAAAGCAAAATCAGATGAAAATCCAAGATAGAATTTAAAAAAATAATGGATGTAAGACGCCAGCACCAAGTGTCCAATGAATAGCAGTAATTTACAGTTATATATATATATATATATGTTTACATGTATATATAAGTATACATGTCTATATATACTTATAAAACCACTGAAGAAAGAATAATTAACTCCTTCAGAAGTATATCAGATAAGTAATATTTATTTTTATTGGATAATAAAAATAATAGCACCTATTAATATTTACCAGATTGTGGAAAGTATTCTCCCCCTTTTCTTTCTCTTTCTCTTTCTTACTTTGTTGGATCTATAAAAACCTCTGCCTAAAATTAACTAATGCTGATGGGAAAACCTGTTGCATGTGTTTGCCATTTTGCTTATAATAGGGTGTGAATAAGCAGCTGAAAAATTAGACATTGTTGTTATTTGCAAATCCTCAAATGTCCTGTTATTATTAAGGTGCTGAGAACTGGTAATTAAGCAATTACAGTAAATGTTGGAATTTTTCTACATGAAGCACACATAGACTGACTTTTCAAGATGGTAATGATGGAGATAACTTGAAACAAAAAAAGAGAATTCATTCATGCAAAAGATTTGTTGACATTTGTGTCAGCTAATTCATTTATATCATTAGTTTCCACATGATAAAGAGACTTCAAGTGTTTAATGAGAAAGGAATTAAAAAATACATGTAGTTGATGGAATGTGAGGTTCTTACAACATTTTAATCTAAGAATATATTCTGGGCTAGTTGCATATTTCACTTGACTATGAAACGGATGCTGTTAATTTGCCATAATGTATATCCACTCAAACTTGCCCTTAGCATGTCTGCCTATGAGATCCATCTCATATGTCCTATTGGCTTTCATAGGGTGGGCTTCTTACCAGATTACATATTAGTGTTCTATCATTGACAAGATTGATGTCCAGTACTCAAGTTATAGAAGACACATAATTTTATATAATGAAAATATCCAAAACATTCAATGGTGTTAATGAAGGATTATGCCCTCCTTTACATGAATGGCATTAAATACCAATACATTATAGTAACAATTTGAAATGGTGACTTGTTGTTAAAGGAGGTTTGAACCCTTAGGAATTGATTTTTTAAATAGATTCATATCCCAGCATTCACCATGGCCTTTCTCTTCTATTTTCCCTAACTCTGGTTTTAGCAGTTGCTGCCTTATTAGTTAGCGATAGGGGATTGTTTTTGGGGTGTCAGTAAATTTGCATTCAAGGGCAAAGAGCTTGTTTTTGAGGGAAGAGCCGCCTATACATGAAGCATGCATGCCATCTTCTCCACCTTTCTGTATTCTCACTGGAGTTCAAGCATCTAAGGGAACAGTCTGGAGTGTTGTAAAGTTGAAATGATGATTGTTCTTTCCCCACTAATTGTCACAGGGCAATTGCCTTTACAAAATATTAATCTCCTAGGGCTGTGAAGCTACACCATGTCTGCAAAAGCTGACTGTTTTCTTTGTAAGTTGTACGACCTTAGGCAAGTTACTTAACCTTACTGGGCGTCAGTTATTTTATCTGTAAAGTAAAAATAATAGTACTACATCCCTCAAAGTGTTTCAATGAGATAGATATGAATTAATGCATATGAAGGAATTAGAATAATGCCTTGCATATGATAATTACTCAACAAATGTTAGACTAGAAGTGACTGTTAATAATTTATAACTGAAGTAATAACTCAAATTTATAATTTCAGTTCTTCCATGTTCCGCAGCCATTAATCAAGTAGAAACCAAAAGTCAAGGAAACAGAAAAATAAGTCAATAGAACTTGGCTACATCTTATAGACAAAACAAAATAAAAAGTGCTTGCAATATCCCTTTGATGATGACAAAAAATACGTCAATTATTAAGAATATAAAGTTGACAAATAGGCAAGAAGAGAAGACAATATGAACTTCTATTGCAAATAAATATATGTAAAAATTATAGAAAAAGCACAAGCTCACTGGCCTTTTCCCACTCTTTGAACTGCTGAAGTTATTGTCTTAGAATTGATGTTTGCCAATAGTAGTACTTGTTTCAAAGCTCTATCTAGAGTTATAAATTAGCAATGTGAGTAAAAACAATAAGCAATAGTAGTAATTACATATATGAATAATAAATGAATATACAGTATATAATACAGGTGTATATATTGTATACATTTTATACATAATATAATGTGTATGTAAATAATATATACAGTTTTATATATCACAAGTAAACATAATTACCATCGTTATTATTCATTTGTACATGTAATACATATATAAATATACCATCATACATAAATGTCCCCACATATATAAATATACCACATATATAAATGTCCCCATCACAGGACTCATTGCACTATATTTGGTTTCGACTATTTCAAGCTCCTTCATGGGCTCATTATATGCTCATAACACCCCTGCTATCAAGAGACTTTTTTATGCTTCTCTCTAAACCTTTCTAGTTTTCCAAAAATCTAATCTTCTTAAACTTTCCTAGTCAACATACTATAAGGGATGACATCACAAACAATGGAGACAAGGATGCACTTTCAATTCTGATTTTTTATTACTGCATGTATAAATTTTGAAATTGTTTCACTCCTTCCTTCCTTTATATATTTAATGATTTTTAGATTATATACTATGTGCGAGTGCTTGGCTATTTGCTGTCTATACAGTGGCATAATGATGAACGAAAGGTATATTGTATGTGCATTTAAGCGATTTAGAATCTAGTGATGAATCCAGCTGCTGACACATAGATAATTAAAATATGAATTTGGTAAATTCTATAAAGTAACAGTAGGAGTGTCTATGAGAAGAGATAAAGAGAAAGTAGAGCTGTAAAAGCTAAAAGGAGTAGTGGTTCATGTTGCTTCATCTGTGTTGAGGATTTGGAGTTTAATCTAGATGCACTTGGAAGCCTCTGAAGGATTTTAAGTGCTAGAATGACAAGACCAGGTATCTGTTTATAAAGGATCAATCTGGATGCTGGATAAGGAAGAGTTTATACGGTGCACAGGGGAAAGGGGATACCAATTAAGAGCCTATTGCAGTGTTTCAGGTGAAAAATGATGGCAAATAAATTAGAGTGGAGAAGGTTGAAAAGAACCAGACAGACTTGAGATACATTTCAGATGAGGAGCTGACAAGACTCACTAACAGAGTGGGTTTAGGGAGAGGTGAGCATGAAGGAGGTGTCAAGAACGATTCTCAGGTGTGTTACTTGAACACCTGCTGGATGGAAGGGTAATTACTGAAAAGAAGAGGCTGTGGGGAAACCAGATATGAGTCACTGGGAAGAGACTTAGAGTCCAGTTTTGTTCAGGTTAATTTTGAGATTGCAGCAAAGCCTCCAAGTATGTATACTGTCTATCTTAACTACAGGAATCAGAAGCTCATGAAAGAGTTTGAGATTAGAAACATAAATCTTTCAGTCGGCACCAGAGCACATCTAAAGAGTTGGCTTCCTCATTTGAAAATGAGAGTGGCAGTGCGTGTGGTAGTAAATATTAATATGTGTAAAATTCCAGAGACATGACACTGAGCAGGTACTCACGGAACACAGATGTGTGGGCTCCTAGGAAACCTAATGATATTCTTGCAATTCGACTTTTAAACACACACACACACACACACACACACACACACACATCTGTTCAGCACATATTTAGTAGGGGCAGAAAGAAAAAAGATTTCTCTTGATAAAGTTGTATGCAAATTCAAAATAAGAAATGTATTACATATATAATTGTATTATGTAAGGATATGTTAACTTTCTGGAAATATCTTTCCTTTAGCAGCTTTCTCATCACTTGTAACTGGATGAACTAGTCACTCATGCTCGCTGAGTGGAAAGGTAACTTCTAGCAATATCAGTCAAATCCTGTAGCTGCACATGACAGAATTTCTGTTTCACAGGAACAAAAACACAGTTCCAGTCCCAACTGGCTTTCAGTTACAGAATTTGGAAAGTAATTATCTGACACAAACAGTGCTCTATTTTTATTTTCCATTTCAAACTCCGAATGTGAATCAGATTCTCACAAGAAATGTGACAGAAATAGGAGGAAAAGAAATGGATTTACTTATTCATTTACACTAGCTGAAGTAAGTCAATTCTCTGAAAAATTCAGTAAGACATTTTTCCACCTTTCCATAGCTCTTATTCCATTTTTGCTTTATTACACAGTGTTCCACAACAGACTACTTTTTAGAAGAATGTTACCAAATTTAAAATGTATGTATTTCTTTTTACCACATATGATGATAGGTAAGCAGTAACCTGTTAGGTTTCTGAGTTTTAATTGATTGATATAATGGTTAATTTTACATGTCAACTTGACTAGTCTAAGGAAGGCCCACAGAGCTGATAAAACATGATTTCTAGATGTGTCTATGAGAATGTTTTTTTGAATTAGTAGATAGAGTAAAAAAGATCCCCCTCCCCAGAGTGGACAGGCACTATCTCATCTTTTGAGGGTCTAGATAGAACAATGAAAGCAAAGGAAGGGTGAATTTTTTCTCTCTCTTCTAGAGCTGGGGCGTTCATCTTCTCCTGCCCTCCGACCTCAGAGCTCCTGGTTGTTGAGCCTTCAGGCTTCGTAACTTACACCAGTAGCTTTCCTGGTTCTCAAGTCTTTGAACTTGGAATAGGAGTTACATTGTTGGCTGGCTTAGTTGCCAGGCCTTCAGACTAGGTTTAAATGACACCACCAGCTTTCTTGGTTCTCCAGCCTGCAGACAGCACATGGTAGGACTGCTCAGTCTCCGTAATCATGTGAGCAAATTCCCACAGTAAATCTCCTCTTACCTACCTATCCATCTTTCTATCTATCTATCTGTTGATCCATATATACTTTGGTTCAATTTCCCTGGAGAATCCTAACTCAATTAGAAATAAAGGTAATTTTATGTTACAGGGCTTTTAGAAGTATTGTCATTGCACCAAAGCAATCTGACCCACTAATGAATGATGACAACTTTATTTGTTAAACAACTGCAAAAAGCATGAAAAAAGTATCAGAATATAGACTTATAAATAACATACAAAAAAACTGTACATTAGTGCAGACCAACATTTTTTATACTCCTCCATAAAGATAAACTAGCTATGGTAGAACTTTACTTCTACTTTAGAAGAAGGACAAGTTATTTAGACGACTAGGCACAGAGGCATTTGTGATTACGTTAGATAGCAAGCATGATTCTTCCAAATATATTACCATTGTTGTCATAGCCTTTATAGCTTGGCATTTGGGACAGTGAAATAATTTGATGATATTAGAGTCTGACCCTGGGTAATCAATGAATGATAATGCCTGTTCTTCTAGAGCTAATACTCCTCCTCCTCCTTCTACTATGACAGAAAACCCTGCAATTCTATAAATCTTCACCTACCCTACTACCAATATTTTGCTGTTTTCTTCTAAAGACAAAGTACTTAACTTGGATAAAGGAATCTAAGTTCAGATAGTGATTCAGGGCTGTTATTTTTTTGGTAAAAATATTTCACTTATTACCCACCTTAAGCCTAGAGCTAAACTAATGTAGTCACCAGTAATTAACATTTTTCTAATTTCAAAATAAGTAGTATAACCATTAAAGCAGTTGTATGGAACAATCTGTAATCTATTAAGAGGGTTTTAAGTCATTTTATCAATATTCCTGGAACTGCATCAGAAGCAAATATTTGTTGCCCCAGAGCTAAGGTGATCATAAGGTTCATTATTAAATGTACACTGTATTTTATTATGGGAAATCAGATATAGTCCAGGGATGCCAGGAGTGAAACATACCACGGCTTACTCACACAAATTTTAGAATACAATCTTTCCAGTTGCCTTTTACACCGTAAAATTAATTGTGGATTTTGTTGCTATTAGAAACAAGAAAATGAAGAGTTTAATGAGTGAAACTTAGAAGGACAGAGAACAGATATAATATGTACAGCTTAGCCTTTGGAAAGATAGACAATAAAACAAATAAAAACCAAGGTCCTCGTACTGTACTCCTGAAAGGTAAGAGAGGATCTGAGAATAAGGGGTTATGGAAGGAGGGTAGATAACCTGACTCCAGCTTCAATATATTCTGGGAGAGGATTAATCTCTATAGATATACAATTTGAAGAGAAGGATTAGATAAACTTCTGTACATGTGCGAAGGAATCACCTGTATAAAAATGGTAAGTTTGGTAATATAATTTTCCATATCTTAAGTTCCAAGATGCTACAACTAAAAAAGTGGCTTAAGTTGAAATACCCTCTTGAAAAATATTTGATTATTTATGAATTAAATAATTAATATCCTCTCTAAAATTTCAAGTTAAATTATCAAGATTCAACTACAATCTAGTGAATTCTGTTTTATTTGAAATAGTCCTACAAATAGCATTGCATCATGAAATATAACTAACTTTGTAGTGGTGACTAATTTTATGTATCATCCTGACTGGGCTAAGGGATGTCCAGAGAGGTGGTAAAATGTTATTTCTGAATGTGTCTGTGAGAGTATTTCCAGAAGATATTAGTATTTATATCAGTATTTGGGATTAGCACTTAATTCAACATGGGTGGGATCCATACAATCAATTGAGAGACCAAATAGAAGAAAAAGATGGAGAAAGGGTGAGTTCTTTATGTCATAGATGGGACATCCATCAGTCTTGCTCTCCAAAATTGGCACTCCTGATTCTCAGTTCTTTTTACTTGTATTGAATGACATCGCAAGCTGTCCTGGTTCCAATGTTGAGACAGAAGATAATGGGATTTCTTGGCCTCCATTAACAATGTAAACCAATTCCCATAAATTGATCCCTTTTTTTCTCTCCCTCTCTCTCTTTCTCTCTCTCCCCTAATATTCTATAGGTTCTGTTTTTCTGTAGAACCCTAATATAAACTATAACTGACCTATAATGTGTGTAATAGCATATGTAAGTACCATTTATTTTTTAAAAGCCATGCATGAAATATACAGGTATAAATCCCCTTCAGTGATATAATTTGATAAATAAGACCTTCACACTGTTAAATATGATAATTCAATGTGTGAAATATGTTCTAGACTTCTAGTTCAGATAAGATGATATACACTCATTTTTCCCTATTCCTTCCTGACAAGTACAATTATAAACCCTGGAAGTCACACAAGGGACAAATGTAAGTGATTTCTGAAAGGTATGAAAAAGGCATGCTTGTTTGCAGCCTTAGGTCTGGAGAAATAGGTCAGCAGCAGGGTATCTTGTATCCCCTGAACCAACAGAAAAAGGCTACCCAGGCCTAGTGTTTCCTGTCCCACAACCTGACAGCAAAAGGCAGCTCAGCTTCTTGCAGAGAAATGAGCTTACCCATTTCAAACAGAAGTGTCTCTGAAAACATCAGGCAAACATGACAGCTTTGCCAAGGGATATTGCTTGGGAGCCCCACCAAGAATAAGCAGTCAGTAGAAGCATTCTGCTTCTTCATAAATTATGAGACTTCCTTTATCACTAAGAACTACTGAGGCAGGTTGTCTGGAAAGAGTTGACAACAGTTATCCTGGTCCAGAAGCATGTTTGACTTCGTGGTGTCATGATTCCCCATCCTTGTCCAAGGACTGTCCAAGGACACCAGGAAAGCTCTGTCTAAGTACAGCAGGAAAACTGAAGTTCAGCAGTAATGGAATTGCTCCACATGATGGCTCCACCAAGCAACATCCACAGAATGGTCTAAGGGAAACCCATTTTGTGCCATCATGCAGCACCAGTGGCTCCAGATAAACTTAGTAAGACTGAAATAAATATAGGCACTGAAAATACCCTGCCATTTAAATCACAGTCCACAAAAATTAGGCCAAGCCCCACATGCTAAACCTAAACTTGGTGAGTGACTTAAAATAGACTTTAACAAGACTAATTTAAACAAGACTCTGAATCTTCTATCATAATAAGAAAAATGTCTGGGAACTAAAAAGAAAATCACCTACTATACCAAGAACGGAGAAAATTGTAACTTAAATGAAAAAAAATAATCAATTGATGTCAACACCGCAATGAACCAATTACTGGAAATATCTGACAAGGGTTTAAAAGTAGCTTTTATAAAAATGCTTCATTAATACATTAAGAACTTATTTTGAACGAAGTGAAATATACATAATCTCAGCAAAAAATAAAAGTTATTTTAAAAATAACTAAGTAGAATTATAGAACAAGAAAACAAAATAACAGGAATGAAAACATTGCTGGATAGGTTGAGTAGTAGAGTGGAGATGACAGAATAGAATCAGTTAACTTGAGAACAGAACAATAAAGTTCACCCAATCTGCAAAACAGAGAGAAAAACTGTCTCAGGGACACAAGGGACAATAAAAAAGGTCCAATATTTCTGTTACTAAAATTCTGGGATAAAATGGAAAAATGACTGACACTAGAAGAATTTTAAAGATATAATGACTGAAAACTTTTTCCCAGATTTGGTGAAAATCAAAACCTACAGATCCAAGAAGCTGAGAGAATTCCAAACAGGTTAAATTCAAACAAATCCACAACAAGATTTAACATAATTAATCCTTTGAAAACTAAAAATATAAAAGAACATTTTTTGAAAGCAGCCAGAGTAAAGTGATGCATTACCTGAAAGGAAAGGCAATTCAAATGACAGTAGATTTCGCATGTAACACCATTGAGACTTAAAAAACCTGGTGCAGTATTTTGCAAGTTTTGAAAGAGTAGAACTGTCAACTACAGATTCTGCATGTGGCAGAAATGCTCTTCAAGAATGAAGGAAAATAAAACTATTTTCAGATAAAGGCAAACTAAAAGGATCTGTTGATATCAGACATACCTTATTGGTTGGCTAAAGGGAGTTCTTCAAATAGAAAGGAAATGACACACAAAAGAATACTGAAACTGAAGCAACAAGGGGAAGAGCAGAAAAGTGAAAAAATGCAATAGGCTGTTCTTTCCTTCATGAGTTTTATCTATCATATTTAAATATTGAAACAAAAATTAAAACACCATATGATATCCAAGGCGATAAGTGAAGAAAGTCACAGAACCAAAATGGAAGTGAAGCTTTCACACTTCCTTCAAAATGGTAAAATGTTGATATGTGTAGATGGTTAAAAGTCACCTATGTTTGTGGTAACCCCTAAAGCAACCACAGTGAGAAATATACAAAGAAGTATACTCAAAAACAGAATAAATTAATTAGGACAGAATCTTTAATAATGTTCACGTAACACAAAGAATAGCATAAAAAAGAAACAAAGAAATGAGAAACAGAGAAAACAAATGTAAGATATATAATAAAATAGCACTCCTCATTAATCACTAATTATCTTAAATATAAATGATTTAAATAAAATAATTAGAGAAGGCATACTGAACACACAAATTACTATCCAACTGTATGCTGCTTTTAAAAAAATTACTTCAAATTCAATGACACAGGTAGATTTTGAAAGTAAAATAATGGAAAATACTATACCATGTAAATTTTTTTTTATAAAAGTAGGAATGATTGAATTAATATTGGACAAAATACAATTTGGAGCAAGGAAAAACATGTCTGCTCTAGTAACTCTTATCCAACTTAGTAACTTCTACTCAGTGCAACTATAAGGCAGAAAAAGAAAATAAAATACTTAAAGATCATAAAGGTCAGAATAAAATTATTCCTATTTTTAGGTAATGTTATTTTCCATGTAGCAAATCCCAATGAATCTACAAACAAAACAAAACAAAGAAATAAACTAAAACTCATACAACTAAGTGAGTTCAACAAGTTGGTAGGATAGAAGATCATCAAACACAAATCAATACTAACAATGAATATTCAAAAACTGAAATTAAAACAATTGCATTTACAATCACTAAAAGAACTACTGCCACATGTAATAAAACATGCACATAATGTTTTATGCACTGAATGCTGAAAATTACAAAATACTAATGAAAGAAATCAAAGACAAACAAAATAAATTAAGATATTACATTTATTAACTGGGAGACACAACAGACTAAAATGTCAGTTCTTCCCAAATCTATAGGTTGAATGCAATGATTTTTGAAATCCCAGCTTGAATTTTTTTTATAAATATAGGCAAGCCTATTCTAAAAATTCTATGGAAAGACACAGGCCTTCAATTAATTAAAACACTCTTGATGAGGAAGAAAATCATAAGAATTACTCTTTGATATTAATGCTGGTGATAAAGCTACAGTGGACAAGACAGTGTGGTGTTGCAGAGAGAAACATAGATTAATGGGACAGGATAGATGACCCAAAATAGAACTCCACAAATATCTTCAGCTGACTTTTGACAAAGTTGCTAGTGGGTATGGTTATAAAATGCCAGTGAAAGATCCTAGTGGTTTTGAAACTGTTCAGTATCATAACTATAATGTTGGGGATACATGGACCTAGGCAGTAGATAACATTATTATACAATTTAATACCCACATATACACATAAAATGGGACAAGGAGATGTGGGGGAATCTGAATAAGGTTGTTGGATTTTTATCAAGGATAACATCCTGGTTCTAATATCAAACTCTTAAAATCTAGTTGTGAAAAATATTGCCAATGAGGGGTATTGGGAAAATTTGCAAAGGATGTCTCCGTATTATATTTTACAAATAAATGTTAATTTGCAATTATCTCAATAAAAATCTTCATTAAAAAATTATGCTCAATTGAAACAATGTAAATAATCTGTGATGAATTTCCAGACCTTTGGAAATACTCATACCTGATAAGCATTTTTATCTTTGAATTGGACTTGGGTAGTGGGGTGTGTGGGGTATGAATGAAATGAGGCTCTGCTTTCTAGCAAAAATAAATGCTTTTTTTCCCTCATATTTCATATCATGAAACAAGTTTTAGAAAAAAATCTCAAAAAGTTACCATTTATCTCCATGCTTTTAACAGAATTAATTTGAAATTATATTACATGTTGAAAATCAATTTCCGCTCATTCTAAAACTACAAGATAAATCTTAGTGTTTTAAAGCTTAGTGTTTTTATTCCGCTAATTATTTAATTCAAATATTGATTAAAATATATTACTGGATTTTTAGGTAAATAGATTATAAAACATACCTGACATGATAACATATCTTTGGAAATTAGGGAAATTGGGTGGAATATTTCATTATTATATGGCATATGTAAACACAATTATACTGATATTAACATAAATTAAGATACCTTTTTAAAGGCTAAACAATACATTATTATATATTAATACTACATTTTCTTTATCCATTTATCTGTCAATGGACATTTGGGTGTTTCCATATTTTAGGTATTACAAATAATGCCAAAATGGACACAGGTGTGCAGGTATCTCTTCATGATGCTGATGTCACCATTAGCAACAATATGGATGAACGTAGAAGACACTACGCTTAGCAAAATGAGCTAGTCACAGAAGAGCAAATACTACATCATTTCACTTATATGGGATATCTAAAATATTCAGTCTCACACAAGCATACAAGAGAATTGTGGATGCAATGGGCTGGGGGAAGGGAGAAATGTGAAGTGTTTGTTCAATGGGTGTGAAGTGTTTTGTTCAATGGGTATAAAGTTTTCATTATGTAAGATAAATATGTTCTGGAGATCTATTGTACAACATAGTATCTATAGTTAACAATATGGTATTGTTCACCTTAAAACATGTTAACAGGAATGTTCCCATGTTAAATATTCTCAACACACACACACACACACACACACACACACACACACACCACATACATAAGGAAAATTTTGAGGGTGATGAATGTGTTTAGTAACTTGATTGCTGTTGATTGTGGTGATGTCATGGGTATAAACATGTGTCTAAATTTATTTAAATGTATACATTATCTAGGAGTAATTTTTTTATATCTATTATACCTCAATAAATCTTTAAAAAGATAACTTTGCTGCTACACTACTATTTCAGAGGATTATTTTTTTCCTGTTGTCTAACATCTAACACAATGAAGAACAATGAAGTTTAGTATGTTAGCTAAAATCGGTGACTAGTTGACACTGAAAATGAGGTTCGTATCATGCATTATCTTTTATGTGCTTGATAGCCCCAATGCTTAGCACATGCAAACTTTTCAAACCAACTACCATTTTTCAAGAAGCATTATAACACAAACAGATACATTCATCTTTATGTGAGTTTCCCCAGTTTTTCTGTTCAAGATGGAAGATGGAGCACAAGCTTTATATTTTTTTCTTCTTTCTAAAGTCCCATTAAATTATTAAAAGGATTTAAAAGATTTAAACTTCCCACAAAGTAAAGTTTGTAGGGTTTGCTCTCAACACAATAGATAGTTCAATAAGATCCTCAAAGA
This sequence comes from Homo sapiens, assembly GCF_000001405.40. Lineage (NCBI taxonomy): Eukaryota > Metazoa > Chordata > Mammalia > Primates > Hominidae > Homo > Homo sapiens. Next base: position 19,800,074 of record NC_000005.10, read on the forward strand.
CAAATTGTAAATAAAGTAATAAATGATTGATAAAGAGAGAGAAGGATAAAAGAAACCATATCCTTAAAAACACTATTGAAAGGCTTCTGCTGTGCAACTCTTTGACCTGTTTTGCATTTTTCCTGAGAAGCTCAGGAGTCAAACATTCCAAGCATAATGGCAGGTGGGGGCAAGATAGCTCTAAAAGATAAAGGTTAATGGAAAATATTTATAGAAAAAGTACTTAATGTCTCCAACCAGAGCATTTAGCACGTAGTCATAAACCTCTGCCAACAATTGTGCCTATTCTTGGAAAAAAAATGTATGTAATTTTTTTAAGAACAATATTAATTATGATGTCTGGGATAACGGAAGGAGTCAGTGATGAAGGGAACTCAAATTCTCCTCATTTATCTGAATGTCTTATAAACCCAAAGAGGGGTTTTCTGTATCCTCATCCAAAAAAATGGAAAGTAATTGTAACCTATTAGTTAATGAGGACAAGAATAAATGTATCAGTATTTTATATATATTGAAAAGGCAATCAAAGGAAGAACTATAAAATTAAAGATAAAACACTATGAGGACAAGGGAAAAAGAGGTAGGATTTGTGTAAACCATTGGATTCTCACATACCATAGCAGAAAATCAAGATAAAATAGACTCTGGTTAAAACAAAAATACTAAACTATTATAGGTTGGTTTTTATCTGTAAGGAAGAGCTCTGAGTAGAAAATGGTAGGAAAAAAAATGGAGAGTACTTCTGTACTATTTTATTTTTCCATGACAGGCATGTACTACATTCATAATAATCCCAGCATTTTGGGAGGCCGAGTCGGGCAGATTGCCTGAGCTCGGGAGTCCGCGACCAGCCTGGGCAACACGGTGAAGCCCAGTCTTTATTAAAATACAAAAAATTAGCCGGTGTGGCAGCATGCACATGCAGTCCCAGCTACTCAGGAGGCTGAGGCAGGAGAATTGCCTCACTGCTTGAGGTTGCAGTGAGCTGAGATTGCGCCACTGCACTCCAGCCTGGGCAACAAAATGACACTCCGTCTCAGAACAACAACAATGAAAATAGAAATTAACATAATACAATAATAGAGGTGGCATGAAGACGTGTAGAGAAAAAAATCCTTGGTTTCCTTTAACAGTATCTTTTTTAAAAGAATATTTTCATTTAGAAATTTCTTCCTCAGCATTACTCAAAGCCAGGCAAAAAGACTAAGTACACGTATGTTTCATTACGTTAATCACTATTTTACAGGTGTCAGTCATTGAAACAATGTAGTAAAGTCTAACACTGTCAAAGGTCTGTGTCACTTTATTCAAGGTACCCTTATATATCATACTGTTTAATAAAATGAGTCTAAAGACCAATGGTTCTCAAAGTTACATATCAATTCAGTATAATTTCAGTAGCTTTAGAAAATATTGATATCCAAGTCCTATTTTCAGATTGGCTTACTTAATTGATCTGAATGTATAATTTGGGCATAAGGATTTTTTAAAATCTCTTGATGTGATTCTATCATCCAAACAAGGTTGAAAACAACAGACACATACTTTATTCATATTTTTCCCAAGGGAATATACACCAGATCAGAGCTTTGTTTTTAATATATCAGCCCAAATTTAGCATATTCTTATTTCTTTGTTTTCAACATTCTTTACAGACACTAAGAAAACTACAGCTGCAAAGTGCAGAATAAAAAACAACTTACATGCAAATTAACAGCTCTCCAGAAAGAGCTTTTGGTCTCCCACAGCTGCATTACTTATTGACAGTTCCCCCCCAACACCATACAAATATTTACTTACTTAATGTTGTTTGTGCCAATAATTGATATGTAATTAGATATTATTTTGCCATTCTCTATCTAAATGTTTACTAAAATTGTAACAAAATTGAAAAATCACCCTCATCAATTTAATTAAATGGAACACTAATAACAGGGTTCAAAGAACAAGCATAACAATGACAATCCTACATTAAAAAGTAAAAAAAATTAGCATAAACTCATAACATAAATCATACGTAAAAGAGAAATGTAATCCTCAGCAAAATATATATGACTCCCTTATATCATTTTCTTTCTGCTTGGTGTTCTTTTATTTTAATTAAAAATAGTTTATGCTGCCTCAAATACTATAAATGTGTTTAATACTTCTCATAATTTTGATATAACAATAGGAAGAACTCAAGCATGCAAAGTAGCTAATGAACTGAACAAGCAATTACCGAACAGACAAGATGTTCCAGAACAAGTTTATGAATCATTACTTTTAGTTTTATATATATAACCTGACAAGTAAAATCTCTTTTTCAAAACAGGTTGGTGGACACTGGAGTAAGTTTAAAAAAGAAAGGTAGTGACCTCTAATTCTTCTGAGATGCTGCTTACTTTAAAATAAAATGAATTATATTTAATATATCTTGATGGCATAACAGATAAGATAAAATAACAAAGTAAAATTCAAATATGTTAAAATTTCCCAAAGAGTTGAGGCATTATACTAGGTATATGCTGGGCATATGTGTTTGTGTGTGTGTGCGTGTATGTGTGTCTTTCATGTACACCCATCTTACTTTTGAAAAATCAATACTCTATTGTGAAACTTTTGGTATGAAACCTTCAAGGGGCAGATTTTGCCTCTTCCTTACTTAAGCTGCCAGATCACTGGCTCATGACTTAGGCTGGGCCAAAAAATGCTCTTGTCTGGAGCTTTGAAATTTGACCAAGTGACACAAAGACCAAGGGAAAAATATTATTTACGGTTGTGTTATCAAGAACAAAGAAGTAGCAGCAATAATAGTTTAAGTCTGGTGACGGAAGTGTCATGGGCAATGGTCTGGCCCAATTGTTCCTAAGGTGTCAGCGTGGCTGCACTTTCAGCTATTCAGCCTCCCTCGGTTTCTGTTTTATTTTCACCCTTCCTCACTGGCCTTTCTGCCAATTGTGAAAACTATTCAAAATCCATCCAAAAAGTCACTTTTACGCTTAAATTACTCAGAGCCGGATTCTGTTACAGTTAAGAAGGTGATCTACTGAACCATGCCTTTGGGTACAAATACTCCACAAACTCGCACATTTATAAATACAGTGAACAATAACAATGCATGCTATCTGAAACCAAGATGAAGTGAGTCTGACTTAACTCTCCCAGTCTTCGTAACATTTTTACATATTAGAGTTAGGTATTAGATTCATAATGTCTCACACGCATATGAGTTTATGTGACCTTTACAGACTCATCGCTTTAGATCCATTTTGCAAATGTGGCTACATTTTCTTCCTAATTAGTCTAAACAAGTACTGTCTGATATTGTAACTGATAGCTTAGACACATATTTAAATTTAAAGTAATGAAATCTAAACATTCAGCCTCTCAGTTGCACTAGCCACATTTGAAATGTGCAGTAGTCACATGTAGCTAGTGACTATCGTAATAGTGCAGATGTACAACATAACCACAACTGCACAGTTATGTTGGCCAGCACTGGTCTAAACCCATTATGGTAATTCAGCCTTTTCCCAGCGAGTAATTCTGAAATCCAGACTTCAGTCATTTGGCACAGGTCGACTGTCATTCATCGAGGTAATCCAGTAAGACGCAAAGCAAGAATGTTTACATTTTCAATAAAATACATTTCTTATTTTACATTTTATTTTATATTTCTGATTAAGCTAGCTAATAAATTGTTTTCAACCAAAAGACGTTGATTGATAAACTGGTACCTAGAAATGATTGATAAACTAGTACCTACCTTAAAAGATAAATCCTAGGCCGGGCGCGGTGGCTCAAGTCTGTAATCCCAGCACTTTGGGAGGCCGAGGCGGGCAGATCACGAGGTCAGGAGATCAAGACCATCCTGGCCAACACGATGAAATCCCGTCTCTACTAAAAATACAAAAAATTAGCTGGGCGTGGTGGCGGGCGCCTGTAGTCCCAGCTACTCCGGAGGCTGAGGCAGGAGAATGGCGGGAATCCGGGAGGCGGAGCTTGCAGTGAGCGGAGATTACGCCACTGCACTCCAGCCTGGGCGACAGAGCAAGACTTTGTCTCAAAAAAAAAAAAAAAAGAAAAAATACGAAAAATTAGCCGGGCATGGCATCGGGCGCCTGTAGTCCCAGCTACTCAGGAGGCTGAGGCAAGAGAATGGCGTGAAGCCAGGAGGCAGAGCTTGCAGTGAGCCGAGATCGCACCACTGCACTCCAGCCTGGGGGACAGAGCGAGATTCCATCTCAAAAAAAAAAAAATAAATAAAATAAATAAATAAGTAAATCCTAAAATGTGTACTTGACAACTATTGGGCACTTAACATTCTCCCATACCTAGGTAATCCTTTCTATAATAAAATATAGAAACTGACTGAACTATATAGCCTGTAAATCTAGGTACTTGGACCTCACACAATTTGTTAATTTGCCACTTTCGAGGGTTGGTCAAAATCCCAATCAAATTATTTGTATCTCTGATTCTACCTGTGCCTACACCCTGTTCTACTCTTCAGGTATATAAGCTCAGAAATTACTTCCCATTATTAAGCTTGTTTCAGATGGTTTATTCCAGGGCCAGCAGGAAATTACTAACCAATATAAACATCATTAAAACAGATAAGAGATCAGGATGATTAGCATGTTGAGAAACATGTAAATTTTCACATGCCCTGGATTATTAATGAGGGCGATGACTAAAACAGTTGAAGAAGATACATACGTCTATTACAAATAAGTAAATAATCCATGGATTCCCATTAATTTATAGTCTTCTTCTATCACTAGTCAATATTCTTGAATATGGCTCAGCCTCTGAAGATTACTAAGTCTCTTCAGGAGAAAATAGCCACCTAGGCATAAAATCAGCTATGGAAAAAAATCATTATTATTATTATGATTTTTTTTTTTTGGACAGGGTGTGGCTCTGTCACCCAGGCTGAAGTCCCATGGCACACAATCTCAACTCACGGCAGCCTCTGCCTACAAGGTTCAAATGATCCTCCCACCTCAGCCTCCCAGGTAGCTGAGACTACAGGCGTACACCACCACACCTGGCTAATTTTTGTATTTATTGAGGAGATGGGATTTTGCCCTGTTTCTCAGGCTAGTCTCAAAACTCCTGGGCTCAAGAGATCCACCTGCCTCAGCCTCCCAAAGTATTGGGATCACAGACATGAGCCACCATTTCTAGCCGAAAATATATCATTCTTATATTATTCTCACTGGAGCATCAGATTTTGTTATCCACGTCCTCCTTGAAACTTTCTCCTTTGTCTACTATGATTTCACTTCCACTTGATTCTACGCCCTCTGCAGAATTTTAATTTCAAACTCTCTGTGAAGTCCCAGTTTTCTCTTTCCCCTTTGAAGTTTTTGTTCTTCAGAATTCCATTCTGAATAAGATATCCATATGTGTTTTCCTAACTCTTTCTCCATGGCTTCAATTACCATCTAAACTCCAGTGTCTCCTGATGCTACTCTTTAGCCTACATCTCTCTGTAATACTTTGCATTTTTCTATACCTGCCTATCTGCAGGCCCACAAAACACCCAGATGAAGCCTGTCCAAATAACTTCATCACTCTCATGCCCTTTACTCATCAGTCCTTTAATACAAGCCGGAGCCTGCCAACCACCTTCAAATAGTCCTGCAGCCCTTTTTTTTTCCCTTTCAACAGACACAAAGTCGTGTCAATTCTACATCTTAAAAAATATTTAATCAATCTATTTCCTTCTCTCAATTTCTTCTACAATTGTCAAATTCCTGTCTAGATTTGTGCAACAACAAAGCATCCTCTCTGATGCCAAGCTTGTTCTAAATGTCACAATTTCATTTACCACTTGGTAATCTCCCAGTGGATTCCCAAACACTTATGGATAAACCATATAGCTATTTTCTTCTTCGAATCTTCTACCAGGATTGTACTCAGTCACCCATCCACGTTCTCTGGCATTATTCTCAGGCCCACTTCTAACACATGCACTCTGCTCCAACCGTTACCCCTGTTTGTCCTTGAATGTGACACATTTAACCTTTGGATATGTAGTTCCTAAAATTTCACTGGAGTTCCTTCTTAACAAACACATTTTACCAGCCTCGTTTTCTACTAAGAGCAAAATATATTAGTGCAAGTTATTTTTCTTCCAAAGCCTTCCCTAAATTGATCTCAGTCAAATGCATCTCTCCTCGTGCACCACTGCCTGCGTGTTCAGCACTGCTGTTGCACTATCAGCACTGTGATACAATTATTTCTTCACAAAACTGCCTCTGCTTCTTGTCTTAATTTCACTAATCATTGCAGCGGCATATTTTATCAATGTAATCTCCAAATCTAACAAAGCAAATGGCATTTTGTTAGTTAAATTTATGTTGAAGCCACAACTTTTGAAGTGAAATAGGGTTTTAGCATTTGTCTTGTTCTTCCGCCTTATCAATGTACATAATAAAACTGGGCTCTAGGAGGCTGGATTTACCAATGTCAAAGATTTATATCGTAAAAACTGAAGAATACTAGTTCAATATTCCTTCTTCGGTTTCTAGATACTTAATACATGTTACAAGTATGTCTCAGGGGAGTTGTCCTGAATTCATAATGCATTATATAGCCCAAACTTGTATTGTCACTTCAATCATTATGTTAAAGTAAGCAAACTTTGCTCTGCTACCCTCTTTCCTATTGCCTATTAACTCTTTACAGAAATTAACCTACATTTGATTTTCTGAAAACCTTTCTTCCCTGAAACCAGTTGCTCACAGAGAAGCAAGACTGATTGTATAACGATACATATATGTCAATAAATACAGTAATTCATTGCTTAGTGTGTGTCATTAGCCTATTTCCTCACTGGGGAAACCCTATAAAGTGTAGTTAAACTAGATGGTACAGCCTACTACACACTAAGACTATATAATATAATACTCTCTATTGCTCATGGGCTAAAAACCTGTACAACTTGTTACTGTACTGGTTACTACAGACAATGTTAACACAATGGTGTGTGTATCTAAATATATCTAAACATAGAAAAGGTACAGTAGCTCTCTAGTTTAATTAGATCCCATTTGTCAAGAACACATGGATGCAGGGAGGGGAACAAAATATAGGGACCTGTTGGGATTTGTGGTGGGGGTAGAGAGAGCATTAGGGAAAATAGCTAATGTATGCTGGGCTTAATACCTAGGTGATGGGTTGAGAGGTGCAGTAAACCATGGCACATGTTTACCTATGTAACAAACCTGCAGATCCTGCACATAAAACTTTAAATAAAACTAAAAATTAAAAAAAGAAAAGGTACAGTAAAAATACAGTGTTATAATTTTATGGAACCATCATCATTGACTGAAACACCATTAATGTGGCACATGACTGTACATTGATACTACATTACTTTCCTTCTTAAAAGTAAACAATGTCTTCAGTTTCTCCAAATATTAAGTCCCCAATTATTTCCTTAAAGGGGCTTTGTAATGTCGAGGCTCTACTGAGAAGTGTAGTTTTCTCTCTCTCCTCACTACATCTTCTTTCCTAAACCACAGGTACCTGAGTCTTTGAGCCTTCACTGCACAAACTTCTTTCCATCTCAGGATTTTTACACATGTTAATTCTCCACCACGAACACTTATCCATTCCCAATGACCACACAAAACACATCAGCATTTTGGCCCTGATTGGCTCATTTTCATTTTTAGATATCAGCCTGATTATTCCTTCCCCAGAGAGTTCTTCCCTCATCCTCCATCTAGGTTTTACACTGTGTATGTAGTAAGTTTTTTTCACAATTCTCATCATTGTTTATACTTGAATATTTATTTGTGTGAATGTCAATTTAATGTTAACCTTTCCCAATCTATCTGCTTTTTTCACTACTATATAAACAATGTGTAACATAGTGACCGGAACACAGGTCACTGTGCATTTTAAATAAATGCATTTTGAGTAAATGAATATATCCTATATAGTATTCAACCTTTGTCAAAATAAACTCGATTATAGTCAAGCTAAAGCACCAAACAATAGAAAACAAGGAAAAGGCCATGACTAAGTTAGTATACTATTATATGTAATATTATTCTTTTGTTTTTAATGTAGAAAAATATTTTATAGCATATATTGTTTAATCTCTATGAATATAATGACAAGTATGTTGCATAAGAAACAAAGAATTCTAGCTGAAAATGATTGATTATATTTAACTTTGTAACTTTTGTAACGAATGCCTATAATTTTCTTTACAAAAGAAAAAATAAAACAAAACAACAACAACAAAAAAAAAACAAAAATAAAACTGAATGTATTTGAAGGCCCACTAGGCTCAACTTTTAAATTAAATGTCTTTGTTATGTGAGGTCCAGTGCAATTAAATGTTCATACATTCATTGGATAAAAATCAATAAAATAATAGAACATACCTTCTGAGAATAATGTAATACCAATGTTAAAAACAATTCATTTCCTTAAAGTAAATACCTGTTGAAATACATCAGTCTAAGCCTGGATGCGGTGGCTCACGCTTATAATCTCAGCACTTAGGGAGGCCGAGGTGGGTGAATCACCTGAGGTCAGGAGTTCTAGACCGGCCTGGCCAACATGGTGAAATCCTGTCTCTACTAAAAAAAAAATACAAAAATTAGCCAGGCATGGTGGCGCACACCTGTGATCCCAGCTACTTGGGAGTCTGAGGCAGAAGAATTGCTTGAACCCGGGAGGTGGAGCTTGTGGTGAGCCACGAGAGCGCCACTGCCACTCCAGCCTGGGTGACAAGAGCGAAACTCTGTCTCAAAAAAAAAAAAAAAAAAAAAAAGGAAAAGAAATAGAAAATCAGTCTACAATTAGTTATAAAGAAAAACAATTTTTGGAATATATATTTCTACATTATATTTGGGAATATTTTAGAATTTTATCTCTGTATCTGTGTGAAAGTATCAAAGCATGATAAAAGAATACTGTATGTATATCCAGAAAGGATATTAAAAATATTATTTAATACAAATCTTGCTTTTGTACAAAACAAAACCCGAGGAAAGATGTGGCCATAAAAATGGCAGACAAAGCTGATCTAGGCATTTCTCTTACTATGAACAATTAGAAATGGTATATAAAAATTCAAACTAAAATACAATACAAGCAATCTAGAAACAGTAAGAGATAATCCCCAGGGGAGAAAGAAGGGAGGGAGGACTTAGGGACATGGAGGCCATTCCCAACTGTCAGATAGCCCAGTGCCTCTGGGGAAAATTAACTAAGTACACGCTCTAGGCACCAATAATTTGATTTTTACACCTCCTGAAGACTAGAAAAAATAGACTTTCATTCTCCTTAAGATATAGAATTAGAATGGAGCTGTCTGAAGAAAGCCAAAACACTTAAAATCAACTCCCTGAAATTAATGGGTGCAGCACAGCAACAGGGCACATGTATACATATGTAACTAACCTGCACATTGTGCACATGTACCCTAAAACTTAAAGTATAATAAAAAAAAATTAGACTATATACTCACCAGCTTTAAAAAGTAGCAAAGAATTTTGTGGTTATTAGGAGTTCTTGGTAAAAAAAGTTTCATATGAGAAATTGAAACTCAAACCTACAGCCCAGATAAAAGGAAATATATGTTTTATATTTTAGTGTTGTTGTTGTTTACATTAAGTGTATACATAAGAATCAGTAGTTAAGAATTAAATCCATATTTATGAAACCATTTGTTGACAGCAGTTAAAAAGATAAGTGGCTCTCTATGAATATTTCTCAAGTTAAAGTTTAAAGGGATTCCACTAAGAACCCCATTTTTTCCCATCATAAACCACTGGAGACCAGTGAATATAAAAATGTTAAAGATGTACCAGGATCAAATCTCCACTTCCAATAGTGAATAGACAAAGGAAATATGAGAATGGGAACATCGAGCACACACACGGAAAATAGAAAACTTGAAAAAGACTGTTATTTATGTGGTTTGGAAGAATTGAAGCAAGAAAAACTAGATGTCAAAATGAGGCCTGGTGAGGTGGCTCCTGCCTGTAATCCCAGCACTTTGGGATGCCGAGGTGAGCGGATCACTTGAGGTCAGGAGTTTGAGACCAGCCTGGCCAACATGGTGAAACCCCATCTCTACTAAAAATACAAAAATTAGCCAGACATGATGGCGCACACCTGTAACCCCAGCTACTCGGGAGGACTGAGGCATGAGAATCACTTGAACTTGGGAGGTGGAGGTTTCAGTGACCCAAGATCACACCACTGCACCTCAGCCTGGGTGACAGAGTGAGACTCCGTCTCAAAAAAAATAAAATAAAAATAAAATAAAATAGGAGAAAATAAGGCAAAAGGAAAGAGACATTTTAAGACAAATTCAAGTTAATATTCATACTTAATTCGAAGAGCATAGGATAATGATTTAATTTAGTTCAAGACAGCATTAATACATTAGAGATAAAACTTAAGAAATTATATCAATTAGAAGTTTTAGAATGAAACGAGGATGAAACAAGTTCAAATAATTGTTCAAATAAACAAGAACAAAGCAAATCAATATATTTGATTAAGTAAATATATTTGATTAAGTAATTAAGTAAATATAATATACTTAATTATATTTTTCTAATTAGGTGTAAAAATCTTAATCAATTAAAAAGTACTGATATTAGATTGCCTTGGGCTCAATAGTGCATATGAAAAAAGCATATGTTGGCTGGGCACAGTGGCTCACACTTGTAATCCTAGCACTTTGAGACTCTGAGGCTGTTGGATCACTTGAGGTCAGGAGTTCAAGACTAGCCTGGCCAAACTGGTGAAACCTCGTCTCCACTAAAAACACAAAAATTAGCCAGGTATGGTGGCACATGCCTGTAATCCCAGCTACTTGGGAGGCTGAGGCAGGAGAATTGCTTGAACCCAGGAGGTGAAAGTTGCAGCGAGCTGAGATCCTGACACTGCACTCCAGCCTGGATGACAGAAAAAGACTCTGTCTCAAAAAGGAAAGGAAAGGAAAGGGAAAGGGAAAGGAAAAGGGAAGGGAGAAAGAGAAAAAGAAAGAAAGAAAGAAAGAAAGAAAGAAAGAAAGAAAGAAAGAAAGAAAGAAAGAAAGAAAGAAAGAAAGAAAGAAAGAAGGAGAGAAAGAAAGAGAAGAAAGAGGGAGAGAAAGAAGGAAGGAAGGAAGGAAGGAAAGAAAAGAAAGAGATAAAGAAAGAAGCATATGTTAAAGCTCTGAACCCCAATACTTCAAAATGTGATCTTATTAAGAGATAGGGTCTTTACAGGGCTAATCAATGTAAGGTAGGGTCATTAAGGCAGTCATTAATCCAACATCAGTGATGTTCTTATAAAATGGAGGGCTTTGGACACTAGATACACATACAGGAAAAAAACTGTGTGAACCTGAGATGGCTGTCTAGGAGAGAGACCTAGAACAGATCTTTCCCTTCGAAGGAACCAATCCTGCTCACCTCATGATTTCAGACTTCCAGCTTCCCAAACCGTGAGACAATAATAATATGCTGTTTAAGTCACCCAGTTTGTGCTACTTTGTTACGGCAGCTCTAGGAAATAAATACACAGACCAAAAAATATAAAAAGAAAAAAATTATCTGAGCCAAGGTATATTAGCCAATCCAGAGAACACAAGGGACATAGTGGTAATCCTGAAATAAGCCTAAGAGAAAGAAAGACAATTTAAATGAAATTATAGCAGGCTTATCAGCAACAATAGAATCCAGTATACAATATATCTTCAACAAAACAATAGTGGAAAAATTCATCCTAGAATCCTTCACACACACAGAAAAAAATGGTAATTCAACAAAGAAGAAAAAAATGACCATTCAAGATCAAATACAAAAATAAATCAGTAAAGGTTCTACATAAACAATAAGGAAATCAAACTGGGAGGAAGAAGGGGATAGAAGCAATCAACAACAAAGATATTGATAAATGTGTGTAAGTCTAAGCAAGAGTGAATGTTTAAATGATTTTAGCAATAAGGACCCATCTGGAAAGTACTTTATAAAACAAAGAAACAAAATGCTAGACAAAAATAATGTGAACAAAGAGAAAGTAATTAGTGTTTAAATATCCTAAGGTTTTTGTATTGTTTAGAACTGTAAAGGTATCAACTTTAAACTTTATGAAGTATATCTGTTAAAAATAAATAGAGTACAGTCATAGTTCAGTAAAAAGCAAATTGAAGCCAGGAAGAAGAAACTGGATATAGAAGCAGAGAGAAGCAAACAAAGTGTTAAATATGTTAGAAATGTAAGTATATACTTTATACATTAATACTAATAACAATAATTATTATTATTTGGAGGTTTAAAAATAACTTGGTGTATTATGAAAGTGCATGTAGAACGTAGAAAACAAAATATGTAACTGAAATTTGAACATTCTATGTCGTTGTTGGAGAAGTAGAAGGAGATATTATGTTTTGACATGGAAGTAATAAATACATGCAAAAAATTAAGAGCAATCACAATTGCAAAAAGCATAAAACATAAAACCACCAAACAGATAGAAACTCCAGTAGACGTCATTACAGGAGAACAAAAGAACAACAAACAAAACAAGAAACAACCTAATCAACAAAAATTTGTTAAGCAGAAAAAACAAAATAAATCTGTAATGGGTCCAAATGCATTAAAAATTACAGTAGAAACGCTTTTACACTGTTGGTGGGAGTGTAAATTAGCTCAAACATTGTGGAAAACAGTGTGGCGATTCCTCAAGGATCTAGAACCAGAAATAGCATTCCCAAAGGATTATAAATCATTCTACTATAAAGACACAAGTACATGTATGTTTATTGCAGCACTATTCACAATAACAAAAGACTTGGAACTAACCCAAATGCCCATCAATGATAAACTGGATAAAGAAAATGTGGCACATATACGTCATGGAATAATATGCAGCCATGAAAAAGGATGACTTCATTTCCTTTACAGAGACATGGATGAAGCTGGAAACCATCATTCTCAGGAAACTAACACAGGAACAGAAAACCAAACACCGCATGTTCCCACTCATAAGTGGGAATTGAACAATGAGAACACATGGACACAAGGACGGGAACATCACACACTGGGGCCTGTTGACGGGTGGGGGACTGGGGGAGTGATAGCATTAGGAGAAATATCTAATGTAGATGATGGGTTGATGGGTGCAGCAAACCACAATGGCATGTGTATATTTACGTAACAAACCTGCATGTTCTGCACATGTAACCCAGAACTTAAAGTATAATAAAAAAAATTACAATAGGCACAATGGAATAAAACCATTGTTTAAAAAAAGAATTGTCAGATTCTATAAAAAAACAGAAAGTTAAAACTCATTTCTATGTGGATAAGAAAAGAAGATAAATATGATATATATCATTATAATGATATAATTGCTTGGAGAAAATATTTAAGAGCATTTTTACCAAGAGAATCTTTTTATCAGAATTTTAATATCTCATTAGAGAGACTCTTCAGAAAAAAGACATTAGAACTATATATTATTTAATGATAAACTAAATCATTTATCTGCAACCTGTAATTCTGAACTAATAACTATTTTGGAACTTAACTTCAGAAAGGGAAATTACAAAATTACAAGAATATTGACACTTGTAGTCATAGTAAACAATTTTATCATCAATTCCACAAAGGGAAAGCCAGGATATTTAAACACATTTGAATTGAGAGTGTCATAAACCATTAAAATACACTGAATATACATATTTTGAATATTTAATTCTATTTCAAAACTACATTGTTATGATAATTATTGACACTAATGTGCCAAAACAGAATTTTCATATTATCAAATGTGGAAAAATCTATGATTTTTTTGGAAGCTTTTTTTTGGAAGCTTTCACTTACATGTGTGTTAAGTCTATTGAGAACAAATAAAATAAGCCAAAATAAGTCAAAACCAGCTTCTGGTAGTATAACCAGAAGTATTATCCAGAAGACGTAACAACCTTAGGGATGAGGAGGATAGGAGAATATTGTCTTTTTGTGTGTGTGCAGATTTTAAAAAAAATAAATTTAATATGGGAGAAGAAAGAGGCTCTTTTGCTAGCATGACATTAAAATAATTTAAAATAAATAAAGTCTCAATAGACTATTGAGACTTTATTTATGTTTCAAAAATTATTTTATTATTAAAGTAATATAACAAATGAACTTTTATTGTAAAAATACCCAATAATATGAGCAAATCAAATGTTTCCCTTGTTGCTTAACGAATATTACTCCCACACTCACAGAAACAATAGATAATACTATTGGTTTTGGTTTGGCCTTCCAGGCATGAATTATGTCCTAAAAAAAAACACTCTTGCATATGCACACAAATTGCATATACATACAAATGCAATATACACATAATTTCTCAACCCTGGCACTATTGCAATTTTGGACTGGATGATTATTTGTTGGTGGCTGGTTGTTCTATGTGTTATAGAATATTTAGCAGGGCTCTACAAACTACATACCAGGAGCACTACACCTATAGTCATTTAAAACCAAATCCCAGGAGGGCGTTAAAACTTTCACGAACCCTATACCCTTTTGCACTTGTAGGTCCTTTTATCAATTAAAAAATAAATTTGATTTACAAAGAAAACTGATAGAAACAATAATAGAATGCAGGTTGAATAATACTCATTTTCATTTTTTATTCTGATAAAAATGTATTAAAACATTTTCCTAGGCCAATTGTAACTAATAGACAAGCCCTGGAAAAAAAAATGTTTCCAAATATTGCCAAATGCCCTCTAGCATCAAAGTCACCTCTGGTTTAGCAAAATTGTTACACACACACACACACACACACACACACATGGACACACACACATAGATTAGTATGTTTGTATGATAATATAAAGTTCACAATGTGAATAAATATATACACTGTGCCCATAATGTGTATTGCTGAACTTTAAAAATTTGTCAGTGTAGACTTAGGAAATGCTTTCATTAAACATTTGCTGAATTATTCAAATAAAATATCACTTATTCTCTAAAAACATAATTAACCTTAATTAAATCTGATTTATTTAAAAAACTCCTAAGTTACTACAAGCTGAATATAATATACTCAAATAAAATTCATTTTCTCTGCATCCAGTTTGTTGGAGGACTGTATCTAAATAGTTGTTTTCATGATGACTACTGGAAAAGTTATATATTCACGTAGAATTGTGTGCTATAATTAATTTTACATGACACCATGTCATCATGTTGTCATTTGTATAAGATTCAGATGTCACGTTTTGATATAAAAGCTTTCCCATTTCAAGGAAGCTATGAAAACATGTTTATATAGTTATCATCTTGACAATATTGGATGACAATTGAGACCTTTTCTTGTTGTACATTTAATTTTTAATTCAGAGTTTATGATGACATAAAAGCTATCTTTTTTCTAAAAAGCTTGAAACTTTCTATTTCCTTTTACATGATTTATTCTCTCTTTAACCTAAAATTCATTTCTTTAATTTGAAAATACATATTAAATATCTTCATATTAAAAAAAAATTGAAGGTTGTCTTCTAAGTAATGAAAAATATAGAATAAGGTCAGTGATAGTGATGATGAGAGACGTATTTTATGCCCTCTATATTGCAAAGTGATTTTCATTAAGGAACTGGATATCTCAATTTTTTTGACACCTCCGTAACTAATCCTATGAACACGAAGAGGCCTCTTAACTGTTTTGAGCATCGCTCCTTTCTATCACTTGAGGAATTCAGCAAAATAGTTTCTCAGTTTTTTTATTTCACTGGAACTTTTTCCTTACCCTCTGTTTCTTGTAGTTGTTTTTGTTTAATAAAGAAATCTACACCTATTTATTCACACATGATAGGACACAGGTAAACAGATGAGTGAGTGGGAGAATTTTAGTAACCAAGTTCTTAACAGATGTAAGCAAAATCTTCAACATACGATTTATATCTAGAGAAAATTCTAACAGTTATAAACAGATACACCATAAATACAGTGAAGATAGAGAACGTCATTCTTTTGTTTATTCAGAAAACAATGTTTTTATTAACTTTTATTAATGAACTATTTTTAATGTCAATATAGCCAAGATTCTAAGGCAACATTGGTAATAGATTAGAATATTTTAGCCTAAACAATATGGCACACTATTTGGTCTCTTATCTATTCTTTTTAATTTTTATTCCTATCCTCTTTAATGGTCAAATAGTGCAATGTGGACAAGATCCACTTACAAATACTTGGAGATAAACATAGAGTTTCTTAATTTTCTTAAGAAAGACTGTTTAGTCAGTTAAAAACATCATCAATGGTGTTTTTAAAATGAAAATAATATGCATTTATGGAGCACAACATCTAGCTAATCACAAGGACTTAGCACTTGAAATTTATGAAGCATATTGCCAGCAGCTTTGCTTTAGCAAAACAGACATGATTTTAAATGTCTCCTTAGTTAAATTATATCAATTGCAGATGTTTAAATATTCCTAACATATTACATTAATAATCCACACACTTCACAATAACAACCTTCACCTCTAGAATATTTCATTGGTAAATATGAAACATAAATCCAATCTAGTCAATAGTTAATGACTAAAAATAGGAAGTCAGATGTATTTTAAATTATAATTTCTAGTCCCTAACATAAGCAATTTCACTGCTGCATCATTCTTTTTTATTTAATAAAAAAAATTTAATACAGGTGTTAAACCGAAGATAAAAAGGGCTAAGGAATTCATTTTTCTCAACTGCTATTAACTCTGAAAACCAGTACCCTCATGGCTTAGAAAGTCCTAGGTCAAACAAAATATAATTTCAGTCAAAAGAGTGCAAAGAATTACTATATTAAAATAATAATTTTATTAAACAAAACATCATGAACAAAGTTAAAAGACAAATGTCAACTGTGAAAAATTATTAATAACTTTTATCACTGACAAAGAACTACTGCACCTATTATGTAAAGAATTAATAGGGCTGATAAGTTAAACAGACTAGAAAAATAATGTAAAATAAAGGCCATAAATAGGCAGTTAATAAAAAAGAAATAATTACATCTCCTCAAAATTGGAAAACATCATCAATTTTACTCATAATACAAGAAATATAAATTTAAAGTACACGGGGATATCTTTTTTTCACCCATCATGTTTGCATAATTCCAAGTTTTAAAAACAACCCTATGTGTTGTTATCTCTGTAAAGAAACAAACACTCTTACACATCATTGGCAAAGGGAGATACTGCAACATCTATGGAGGAGGCTCTAGTGATAGCTATCAAAATTAAACTTACTTATCTTTGAATCGGAATCTCACTTACAGAAATCTCTCCTACAGATATACCAATATGTGTGCTACATGATATGTGTACAAGGACATTCATAACATTATTACATGTAATAGCAAAAAAGTAACAAGAGACAATAAATACTCATTAAGTTAATAATGGGAGAGGGGTGAGTACATCAGTGAAAGTAGTGAGGTAGAGACTTCCAAAAACTCATCAATAAAAGTACTGATTAATAAGACAGAATTTGTTTAATCATTTTAAATAATCACTGCAATCATTAATATGGCTATCAAAGTTTATAGTTCATGGCAAACTTTCCAGTGAATTACAACATTTGATCATTCTACTAGGCAGGCACTATGACAGGTACTGTGTGTATAAAGATACAATAATTCCAGAACCTGATCCCAAGACATGTATGATATATTTTTTTGAGGTAGACTTCTTACCCAGGAGCTCAAAAACATTTCCTGTGAATGGTCAATACTGAATATTTTTGAATTTGTGAGTCCTACTCCCTCTGTTGCAACTACTCAGTTCTGCCATTATGGCATGAAATTAGCCATAGATAATACATAAATAAATTTGTGTGTCTATGTCCCCATAACATGTTATTTATGGACTCTAAAATATAAATTTTATATAAATTCCAGGTATCACAAAATATTATTTTCTTTCCATTTTTTTCCCAAAATTTAAAAAGGAAACAGAATTGTATGTAGGCAATACAAAAACAGACAGTGGGCTAGCTTTGACACACAGACTGTAGCTTAACTGAACCCTGATCTAAACCATAAACCAAACTTTATAATATACTTCAATTCGTAATCAAAATGTCAACAGTATTTTTCAATTTTACAAAGATGCAAGGAATTAAAGAGACTTAACAATTGTAATACAGGAAGTAAATGGATGAGTTATAACTCAAGCTTAGCTCCTCACTCAGTAATTATTATTATCTCATGAAGACAAGAAGTCTATTATAATGAGCATTATGATGTATGACATGAATTGTAGGATGTGTGTAATATCTTAAGTAAAATTATACTCTTATTTACAACATGATTCATTCAGCACTATTCAACTTTTGAAAAATGAAAAATAGACTAACTAGTCTGTTAGTTTTTACACGATTTTTTAAAAAGAACGAACAAATTGTTTTAAAATTATAGTGACTAATTATTATATACAGTCGTGCTTCATTTAAGGATGGAAATACATTCTGAGAAGTGCATCGTTAAGCAATTCTGTGTTTTTGTGAACATCACAGGGTATACTTACACAAACCGAGATGCAATAGCCACACAGGCACACAGGCTATATGGTGCAGCCTATTGCTCCTAGGCTAGAAACCTGTATAGCATGTTACTGTACTGAATACCATAGATAATTGTAACACAATAATAAGTATATGCATATCTAAACATAAAAACAGTACAATATAATATGCACTATAGTCCATCATATATTCTTTCCATAGTTGACTGAAATGTCATTATGTGGCACATGACTATAATTTGTTTCAGGAGAAAATCAGTTACTTTTTACTAAATTTGCTACTATTATTTTCTTATCGTAATCCTTCAATTATTTTAAAAGATCTTTAACAAGTAATCAGATCTATGAGATATATCCCTCCGCTAGTTTGGATACTTGAACTCTAATGGCAATTACATGTTGGAAAAAAATGTGACTTATGGATTATCATATATATTTATATAAGTAATACATGTATATATACATATATGTGTTTATACCTCTGTATACAATTTATCATTTATTATTACAAAGTTCTCTAAAATCATGGCTTTAGCCACATGTATATATATTAGTAAAGAATAATATATATTGATTAATGTCAACAGAATTAATTATATCATAATAAATCTAATCATTGAGAAAATGTTTAAAAATTATTATAAGAAACATAAGGGAAGCTAGTACATATCAAAATACTTGGGCTTGAACTCTTATTAAAAATTTAGTAAAGTAGAATAAGATGGCCAACTAGACACAGCCAGGAGATGTCTCTTCCAACAAGAGAAGCTAAAATATCGAGTAAACCATCACATTCTGAACAGATCTTTTGAGAGAAAACACTCAAAGTCAATGGAGAAGTGATGAAGACACCGAGGGTGAATAGGGACAAAGCTAGGAAGCCTATATGGAGTCTCCAAGTGTCAAGAATGGCTCCCAGTTCTGACCAGGTCCTAAGGAAGGGGTGAGTGAAGGAACTGTGAGGCAGCACACTCGCATTGTAGGTGGGATCCCAGCTACAAGAGATCCCATGAACCCCACAGATATTTGAATTGGCAAGGGGAACTTCCCAGAGAGGAGGCAGAGGCTTGCACAGAGCCCAAAAGGTTTTGTGTGGGAGGCAGCTGCTGCAAAACACAACCATAAGTGTCCATCCCCCAAGGCTCTCCATCTTGCTCTGAGTGGCTCTGGCTCCTGTGAATGGCCAGGTTGGGAGAACAGGGCTGCCTTTCCCACAGGACCATGGTGCATCTGATTTACAAAACCCCTTTTTAGCTGGCCCCTCCCGAGGTCCCTGCCTGGCCACTCCCATAAGAGGAGGCACACAGCACAGCCTCCATTGCCCCAGCTGAGTGTTTTTCCAGTGGCCTGAGAGCAGTTTGCCCCTCCCCAGTAGAGTCAGGGGTCCCAGAGGACAAAGCTTTCAAAGCTTTGGGCTTAGTCCCAACCCTCCAGGGTTTGAGCAAAACACCCAGGAGTATTGAGGTAAGATCTGGGACTTGTGCTCAAGTTGGGGATGAGCCCCTACTCTCAGAACATTGAAACCAATGTCTGATGTATGGGTTTGTGTGCTGGCATGGGAGTTGGTCATCCCTCTCTCCACAAAACCAGACAAGAAAGAGTGTAGCAAGTTGGCCAGCTGCAATTTCTCCCTAAGGCAGCCCTAGAGCCCAGAACACCCAGAGTGACCTAGCAATCCGGGCACAGAAGGTTTGGCACAAAACTAGCTGTTCAGACCTGCTCCTGGAGTAGACAACAGAGGGAGAAACCAACAGGGGAGTGACAGCTGGGCAGTTCCCACAGCCATCTGTTTGGCAAAATATCCTGGGCCATAGGTGCCACAACAGCTACACACCAATGGCACCACTTCCTTGTCTAGGGATCCTCCACCCTAGGCCCACCGCATTAACAGACCACTTGTAGACATACCCCACAACCCACTTTGACTCTGCCAAACTCAGAGGACCAAAAGGTCCCCAGTGAATGGCATGTCCCCTGGTGGACTAACCTTTGACTCAAGTAGCCCCTGTGAGAGAGTGCAGCCTGCCAGGGACCTGTTTGAGCCTAAAGAAATGGGGACCTAGCACCAGTATTTGGAAGGGGTTCCCCCAAGGCCCAGGAATGGAGTTGGTGAGGGTCTCATCTACTGGATCTCACCCTGAATTGTACCACCAAATAAAAATAAATTTCTCTACCTGGATCACCTGTGAAACCCAAGGCAGGAAGCCAGCTACAACTAAGGAACCCATACAGAGCCTTGGACTCTAAAAGCACAAAGAAACACAACCAATCCATAATACATAACATTCATCTCAATCAAACACACAACAGGAAAAAAAATAAAAATAAAACCAAAAAGCTTCATCGCAATAACAGAAACTTCAAAAAAATAATGAAACGTTACTCATCTCAGATGAGAAGACATTGGCACAAAAACTCCATTAATTTAATCTTTGGAGTACTCTCTTACCTACGAAGACTACACTAGCTCCCCGGCAATGGATTCTAAGCAGATTGAGATGACAGAAGTGACAGACATAGGATTCAGAGTTTGGATGGCAAGGAAGCTCAACAAGATCCAAGAGAAAGTTGAAACCCAATCCAAAGAAGCCAGTACAATGATCCTAGAGTGCAACAATGACGTAGCCATTTTTAGAAAGAAACATACTTGAACTTCTGGCATTGAAAAAGGTACTACAGGGAATTTCAAAACAAGTTTGAAGCCACAACAATAGACTAGACCAAGCTTAGAAAAGAATTTTTGAGCTCAGAGACTGGTCCTTCAAATCAACCCAGTTAACCAAAAAACAAAAAACAAAAAAAAAAAAAAGGAAAAAGAATTTTTAAAATGAACAATAACTTTGAGAAACATGTGATTATGTAAAGAGAACAAACCCACAATTCCTGAGAGATGGAGAGACAGTAAGCAACTTGGAAAACATATTTGAGGATATAGTCAACAGAAATTTTCCCAATCTTGCTAGAGAGGTAGACAAGCAAACGTAAAATAAAATCTAGAAAATCTCTGTAAGACACTATACAAGATGACTACCCACAAGACACATAGTCATCAGGGTTTCCAAGGTCAAAGTGAAAGAAAAAATCTTAAAGGAAGCTAGAGAAAAGTGTCAAATCACTTACAAAGGGAACCCCATCAGGCTAACAGTGGACTTCTCAGCAGAAACCTTACAAGCCTGAAGAGATCAGGGCCCTATTTTCAGCATCCTTAAAGAAAATTAATTCCAAACAAGAATTTCATATCCCAGCAAATTAAGCTTCATAAGTAAAGAAGAAAAAAATCTTTTCTCGACAAGCAACTGCTATGGGAATTTCCTACCACTAGACCAGCCTTACAAGAAATCCTGAAGAGAGTTCTAAATATCAAGACAAAATAATGATACCTGCTTCCACAAAGACACACTTAAGTACTTAGTGACAGACCCTTAAAAGTAACTATACAATTGAGACTACAATATAAACAGCTAACAACATCACAACCGGATCAAAACTTCACCTTGAATGTAATATCAAAATTAAACTTGAATGTAGGTGCTCTAAACACTCTCACTTAAAAGACACAGAGTGGCAATTTGGATGAATAACCAAGACCATCCATCTTTTGGCTTCAAAAGGTCCAGCTCACATGTAATGACACCCATAGGATCAAAGTAAAGGGATAGAGAAAAATCTGTCATGTAAATGGAAACAAGAGGAGGCGTTGTTATTCTTAAATCAGACAAAGCAGATTAAACCAACAACAATAAGAAAGGACAAAAAGGGGCATTACATAATCATAAAAGGTTCAATTCTATCTGGGGAAATTCAGCCAGATATCAGGCAAAACTCACCCCCGATATTTCACGTAGGTTCTTTTCTATTTTCCCTAAGTGTCAGCCAGTTTGAGAAATAAAGGGACAGAGTAAAAAAGAGAGAAATTTTAAAGCTGGGCATCCGGGGCAGACATCACATGTCAGTAGGTTCCGTGATGCCCCACAAGCCGCAAAACCAGCAAGTTTTTATTAGTGATTTTCAAAGGGGAGGGAGTGTACGAATAGGGTGTGGGTCACAGAGAGCATGTGCTTCACAAGGTAATAGAATATCACAAGGCAAATGGAGGCAGGGCGAGATCACAGGACCACAGGACTGGGGCGAAATTAAAATTGGTAATGAAGTTTCGGGCACGCATTGTCATTGATAACATTTTATCAGGAGACAGGATTTGAGAGGAGGCAACTGGTCTGACCAAAAATTTATTAGGCGGGAATTTTCTTGTCCTAATAAGCCTGGGAGTGCTATGGGAGACTGGGGCTTATTTCATCCCTACAGCTCGACCATAAAAGACAGCCACACCCAAGGGGGCCATTTTAGAGGCCCACCCTCAGGGACGCATTCTCTTTCTCAGGGATGTTCCTTGCTGAGAAAAAGAATTCAGTGATATTTCTCCCATTTGCTTTTCAAAGAAGAGAAATATGGCTCTGTTCCGCCTGGCTCACCGGCGGTCAGAGTTTAAGGTTATCTGTCTTGTTCCCTGAACATTGCTGTTAACCTGTTCTTTTTTCAAGGTGCCCAGATTTCATATTGTTCAAACACACATGCTCTACACAACAATTTGTGCAGTTAACACAATCATCACAGGGTCCTGAGGTGACATACATCCTCCTCAGCTTACAAAAATGATGGGATTAAGAGATTAAAGTAAAGACAGGCATAGGGAATCACAAGGGTATTGATTGGGGAAGTGATAAGTGTCCATGAAATCTTCACAATTTATGTTCAGAGATTGCAGTAAAGACAGGAATAAGAAATTATAAAAGTATTAATTTGGGAAACTAACAAATGTCCATGAAATCTTCATAATCCACATTCTTCTGCCATGACTTCAGCTGGTCCCTCCGTTCGGGGTCCCTAACTTCCCACAACACAATTCAACAAGAAGACATAACTCACCTAAATATACATGCACTCAATATTGGAGCATAGAGATTTATAAAACAAGTACTTCTAGACCTAAGAGAAGACTTAGCCACAATAAAATAGTGGAGGACTTATCACCCCACTGACAGCTTTAGACAGATCATTAAGGCAGAAAACTAACAAAGAAATTCTGAACATAAATTTGACACTGAGCCAATTAGAGGTAATAGACACCTACAAAATATTTCACCCAACAACCACAGAATACACATTCTTCTGGTCTACACACAGAACACACTCTAAGATCAACCACATGCTTGGTCATAAAGCAAGTCTCAATCAATTCAAAAGTATCAGCAGTGTGTTAAACATACTCTCAGATCACAGAGGAATGAAAATAGAAATCAAAACTAGATGATCTCCCAAAACCACACAATTACATGAAAGTTAAACAACTTGCTCCTAAATGACTTTTGAGTAAATAACAAAATTAATTAATAACCTTAACATCACAACTAGGGGAAATAGAAATACAAAAAAAAATAAAAAATAAAAGAATCCCAAAACTAACAGAAGTAAAGAAATAGCTAACATCAAAAGTTTCTGCAATGTGTTGAATTCACGTTTGATGTAGATGCTAAGGCACAGTGGAATAATATACGTGGTCCAATAATTGGATAGAAGATGGCAGATTAGAAGCTCATGTGTGCTCCTCTCACAGAGGGGGAGCAAAACAGGCTAGTGAATACTGACCCTGCAAGCTGATCAACTGAGAAACCACGTCGGGACCCATCAAGGCAGCAAAGTGACACAGAGAGCAGAGAGGAGTAGAGCTAGACACCAGCCTGTCTGGGCTCACCATGGAGACAGGAGAACCTCCCCAGTATGGGAAAGGGTGAGTGATCGAGAGCTCCTAGGGGATTCATGTTCTCCACAGGAACTTGTGCAAGACTGGAAATGAGAGAATCCTCCCAAGTTCCCCATGCCTTCCCCACTACCATGCTTCTAGACAGGCAGAGAGCCACCCGGACATTTTGAAGTGGCAACTTTGGAGTTCAACAAAACTTTTACAAGCCTTGGGTCCCAAAGCAGATGAGCACCAGCACCATATCCCCCGTAGAGGCCCCAGTTTTGGTGCCTGTGAGTAGTAAGATTGCTTCACTCCTCCTAGCTGGATGGGGCTTCACACCAGCTTCAGGCCCAGCAGTCCCACTTCTGTGTGAACTCAGCCAAAGGACACAACCTTCTGTTGTCTTGGAAAACACCCAGATGACAGAGAGGGTGACCCAATCCAACCCTGCAACTGGTAGCTGTGTGGGCAACACTTGCTAGAGCTTCTGGCCCAGTGTCCTTGCATCTGTATGGATTCAACCAGTGGGTACAGTGGGTACAACCTTCTATTGTCCCAGAAAGCACCTGGACAGCAAGGCAGATAATCACACCCATCCCTGGCACTGGTAACCAGGTGGGCAGCACCTGCTAGACCTTTTGACCTAGTGGTTTTACTTTTTTGTGAACTCAGCTGGAATGCACAGCTTCTGGTTGTCCCAGGAAGCATCCAGATAGCAGGGCAAGTGACCTCACCCGCTCCTGCCACTGGTAGCCAGGTAGACAGTGCCTGCTAGAGTTTCCAGTCCAGCATTCCCACTTCTGTGTGAACTCAGCAAGTGGGCACAGACTCCTGTTGTCCCAGGAAGCATCCAGATGGCAGGGTGGGTGACTCAACCCACCCTTGCCTCTTGGAGTCAGGCAAGCAATGCCAGCTAGAGCTTCCAGCACACTGGTCTTATTTCTGCTTATATTTGCCAAGGGAAACAGCCTCCAGTTAACCTCAAAAACACGCAGACAGCAGGAGGGGTAATTCTACCCACTCCTGCCTCTCAAAGCTAGATGGGCTACACCCACTAGAGCTTCCAGCCCAGTAGTCCCACTTCTGCCTGAACTCTGCAGGCAGGTGCAACCCCATGTTCCCCTGGGAAGCACTGGACAGCAGATTAGGGCTGACACCGCAAGGATACAGCCTGTCTGCCAACTGTTGCCCCTGTCTGAGGGAGCTGCATAGACCAGAACACCTAACAAAAGAAACATGGACACAGAGACAGTAATTGAAAGGAGTACATTCAAGATCCAGGGGCAAACTAGATTCAAAGCTTGTCAATAGAATCCACCTTATACAATAATCAAACTCTCAAGGGCATCAAAGAAGATAAAAGCAAACAAAACTTATGCAAAGGACAGCAACTTCAAAGATTGAAAGAATAATAGCCAACACAGATGAGAAAAAAACTAGTACAAGAACTCTAGCAACTCAAAAAGCCAGAGTGTCTTCTTGCTTCAAATGACCATGGTTGCTTCCGGCAAGAGTTCTTAACCAGGATGAAATAGCTGAAATGTCAGAAATGCAATTTAGAACATGGATAGGAATGAAGATCATCAATGTTCAGGAGAAAGTTGAAACCCAATCCAAGAAATCTAAGGAATATAATAAAATGATACTGGAGATAAAAGATGAAATGGCCATTTTAAGAAAGAACCAAATGGAACTAACAGAGCTGAAAAACTCCAAGAATCTCATAATACAATCCCAAGTATTAACAGCAAAATTGACCAAGCTGAGGAAATAATCTCAGACTCAAAGACTGGTTCTCTGAAGTAACAGGCATGAAAAATAAAGAAAAAGCAATATAAGAAAAATGAACAAAACCTCCAAGAAATATGAGATTATGTAAAGAGACCAAATCTATGACTCAGTGGCTCGCTGAAAGAGAGGAAGAGAAATCAAGCAACTTGGAAAACAGATTTGAAGACATTATCCACAAAAACTTCCCCAAACTTGCTAAGGAGGCCAACACTCAAATCCAAGAAAGGCAGAGAATCCCTGTGAGGTACTATAAAGATGACCATTCCCTAAGACACAGTCATCAGATTCTCCAAGTTTGAAATGAAAGAAAAAATGTTAAAGGCAACTAGAAAGAAGAGGCAAGTCACCTACAAAGGGAAACTCATCAGGCTAACAGTGAACATTTCAGCAGAAATCCTACAGGCCAGAAGTGACTAGGGGACTATATTTAGCATTCTTAAAGAAAAGAAAAGAAGTTACAACCAAGAATTTCATATCCAGCCAATCTAAGATTCATAAGCAAAAGAGAAATAAGGTTCTTTTCAGACAAGCAAATGCTAAGAGAATTTGTTACCACCAGACCTGCCTAACAGGAGGTCCTTATGGGAGTGCCATAGATGGAAGAGAAATACCATTACCAGCCAGAACAAAAACACACTAAGTGCATAGATCATTGACACTATAAAGCAACTACACAATCAAATCTGCATAATAACCAGCTAACAACAAAATGACAGGATGAAACCTGCACATATCAATATTAACCTCGAATGTAAATGGGCTGAATGTCCCAGTTAAAGGCACAGAGTGGTAAGTGAGATGAAGAAACAAGACTCAACTCCACGCAGTCAAGAAGTGACCCTTCTTACATGCAATGATACCCACAGGCTCAAAGTAAGGGGATGGAGAAAAATCTACCAAGAAAATGGCAAACAGAAAAAAAGTGAGGGTTGTTATTGTAATTTCAGACAAAACAGACTTTAAACCAATGAACAAAAAAGGCAAAAAGAAAAAGTGTTACATGATGGGAAAGGGTTCAGTTCAACAAGCAGACTTAACTATCTTAAATATAAATACACCAAACAGGATGTCCCAAGTTCATAAAGCAAGTTCTTAGAAATTTACAAAGAGAATTGGATAACACCACAGTAATAGTAGGAGACTTCAACACCACACTGACAATATCGGACAAGTTATCAAGGCAAAAAAAAAAAAAAAACTTAAAATATTTGGGACCCAAACTTGACATTTGACCAAATGAGTTTAACAAATATCTACAGAACTCTCCACCCCTCTGAAAAACAGATTGTAAATTCTTCTCATCTACAAATGACATAAACTGTAAAATCACCCACACAATAAAAAATAAAACAACCCTAAGCAAATTCAAGAATGCTGAAATCATACCAAACATACTCTTGGACCATTGCACAATAAAAATAGAAATGAATACTAAGAAAATTGCTCAAAATCATACAAAGATGTGGAAAGTAAACAGGCTACTCCTGAATTACTTTTAAGTAAACAATGAAATTAAGTCAGAATCAAGAAATTGTTTGATATTCATGAGAAAAAAGATACACCATACTAGAATATCTGGGATACATCTAAAGCAGTATTAAGAGAGAAGTTTACAGTACTAAGTGCCCACTTCAAAACGTTAGAAAGATATCAAATCAAGACTCTGACACCGAAATAAGAGCAAACCAACCACAAAGTTTGCAGAAGATAAGAAATAACCAAAAACAGAAGCTAAACTGAAGGAAATTGATATGTGACACGCCATACAAAACATCAGCATATCCAGAAGTTGGTTCTTTGAAAGAATAAATTAGATTGATAGACTTGTAGCTAGACTAATAAAGTAAAAAAGAGAAAAGATCCATATAAACACAATTAGAAATTACAAAGGGTACATTACCAATGACCCCACAGAAATACAAAAAACCCTCAGTAACTACTACAAACACCTCTATGCACACAAACTAGACAACCTAAAAGAAATGAATAAATTCCTGGAAATATACAACCTCTTAAATTTGAACCAGGAAGAAATTGAATCCCTGAATACAATAATAATGGAATCTGAAATTGAATCAGTAATAAGAGTCTTACCAACCAGAAAAACTCCATGACCACACAGACTCAGAACTGAAAAGATGTATAAGGAAGAGTTGGTACCATTCCTATAGAAACTATTTCAAAAAATTGAGAAGGATGGACTTCTCCCTAACTCAGTCTACAAGGCCAGCATCATCCTGATACAAAAATCTGTCAGATACACAACAAAAACAACAGCAACAACAACAACAACACTGCAGGCCAATATTCTTGATAAATTTATACTCAGAAACTTTTTACATTCAAAAAATACTAGCAAACCAAATCCAGCAGCACATCAAAAAGCTACTCCACCATGATCAAGTAGGCTTTATGCCTGGGATGCATAATTGGTTCAACATTGCAAATCAATAAGCGTGATTCATCACAGCAACAGAAGTAAATACAAAACCAAATAATCATCTCGATAGATGCAGAAAAGGTTTCTGGTAAAATACAACATCGCTTCATGTTAAAGAAACCTCAACAAACGAGGCACTGAAGGAACTTACTTCAAAATAACAGGAGCCGGCTGGGCGCTGTGGCTCATGCCTGTAACCCCAGTACTTTGGGAGGCCAAGGCGGGAGGATCACTTAAGGTCAGGAGTTCGAGACCAGCCCTGGCCAACATGGTGAAACCCTGTCTCTACTAAAAATACAAAAATTAGCTGGGCGTGGTGGCATGTGCCTGTAATCCCAGCTACTCAGCAGGCTGAGACAGAAGAATCGCTTGAACCCAGGAGACGGAATTTGCAGTGAGCCAAGATCATGCCATTGCACTCTAGCCTAGGTGACACAGTAAGACTCCCTCTCAAAAATAAATTAATTAATTAATAAGTAAATAACAGGAGCCATCTATGAAAAATCCATAGTGATCAACATACTGAATGAGCAAAAGCTGGAAGTATTCCCCTTCAGAAACAGACCAAAACAAACATGACCACTCACACCACTGCTGTTCAATATAGTACTGGAAGTCCTGGCTACAGCATTCAGGCAAGAGAAAGAAATAAAAACCATCCAAATAGAAAGAGAGGAAGTCAAACTTTTTCTGTTTGCAAATGATATAATCCTATACCTAGAAAACCCTATAGTCTTTGTCTAAAAGCTCCTAAGTCTGATAAACAACTTAAGCAAAATCTCAGGATAAAAAATCATTGTACAAAAATCAGTAGCACTTATATACAAGAACAACATCCAAGCTAAGAGCCAAAACAATAATGCAATTTCATTCACAATAGTCACAAAAATAATAAATTTTATAGGAATATACCTAATCAGGGAGGTGAAAGGTATTGACGATGAGAATTTCAAAACAATATTCAAAGAAATCAGAGATGACATAAACAAATGGAAAAATGTTCCATGCTCATGGATAGGAATACCTAATATTGTTAAAACGGCCATACTGCCCAAAGCAGTTTACAGATTCAATGCTATTGCTATCAAACTGTCAATTTCATTCTTCACAGAATTTGCAAAAACTATCTGAAAATTCATATGAAACCAAAAAAGAGCTTGAATAGCTTGATGCAGGCATCATGTCACTCAACTTCAAACTATATTACAAGGCTATAGTAACCAAAACAACATGGTACAAGTACAAAAAAATGGACCAAAAGATCAAGGGAACAGAATAGAGAGGCCAGAAATAAAGCCACATACCTACCAACATCTGACCTTTGACAAAGTCGACAAAAAACAAGCAATGGGGAAAAGGCTCGCTATTCAATAAATAATGCTAGGATAACGGTATAGCCATATGAAGAAGGTTGAAGCTAGACTCCTTCCTTACATCATTTACAACAATGAACTTAAAATGAATTAAGGATTTAAATATAAAATCTAAAGCTATAAAAACCCTGGAAGATGACCTAAGAAATATCATTCTGGACATAGGTCCCAGCAAAGATTTTATGATGAAGCTGCCAAAAGCAATTGCAACTAAACAAAAAATGACAAATGGGACCTAGTTAAACTAAAGTGCTTCAGCACAGCAGAAGAAACTATCAACAGAGTTAACAGACAACTTATGCAATGGGAGAAAATATTTAGAAACTATGCATCACACAACGGTCTAATATCCAGAATCTATATGAAAATTAAACAAATTAGAAAGAAAAAGCATCAAAGAACTCCATTAAAAAGTGGGCAAAAGACACAGACATTTTCAAAAGAAGACATATACCCAGCCAACAAGCATATGAAAAAACACACAACATCACTAATCGTTAGATAAATGCAAATTAAAACCACAATTTGATACCATCTTACTACAGTCAGAATAGCTATTACTAAAGTCAAGAAATAAAAAATGATGACAAGGTCATGAAGAAAAGGGAGAACTTATACACTGCTGATGGGAATATAAATAAGTTTAGTCATGGTGGAAATCAGTGTGGCAATTTTTCTAAAAACTTAAAGGAGAGGTACCATTTCACCCAGCAATCCAGGTATTGGGTATATGCCCAAAGGAATATAAATCATCCTACTATAACCACACATATACGCATATGTTTGTCACTGCACCATTAACAATAGCAAAGTTATGAAATCAATCTAAATGCCCATTAAGAGTATCCTGGATAATGACCATGCGGCACATACAAACCATGGAATACTACACAGCCTTGAAAATGTATGAGATCACATCCTTTTCAGGAACATGGATAGAGGTGGAGGCCATAACCTGACACAAACTAACGCAGGAAGAGAAAACCACATACTTCATGTTCTCATTTATAAGTGGTAGCTGAACTTTGAGTACATATAAACACAAAGAAGGGGACAACAGATACTGGAGTCTTTGTGAGAGTGAAGGGTGAAAGGAGGATGAGGATTGAAAAAGTACCTATCAGGTACTATGCTTATTACCTGGGTAATGAAATAATCTGTACAATAAACCCATGTGACACACAATTTACCTATATAACAAACC
Source organism: Homo sapiens (assembly GCF_000001405.40). Lineage (NCBI taxonomy): Eukaryota > Metazoa > Chordata > Mammalia > Primates > Hominidae > Homo > Homo sapiens. The sequence goes on from NC_000005.10 coordinate 19,831,163, forward strand.
TAAAATAAAAAATAAAACTACATGTCTTTCTTGACATAAGCCTTGGCAAATAATTTATGGCTAAGTACTGAAAAGCAATCACAAAACAAAACAAAAAGTGACAAGTAACATCTAGTCATACTAAAGAGCTTCTGCACAACAAAAGAAACTATCAACAGAGTAAAGAGACAAACTATAGAATGGGAGAAAATTTTTGCAAACTGCATCCTACAAAGGTATAATATCTAGAATCTGTAAGGAACATAAGAGAAAAAGCAAAAAACAACCCTATTAAAAATGGGACATAAACAGACACTTCTCAAAAGAAGACATACAAGTAGCCAACAAGCATGTTAAAAATATTTATCACCACTAATTATCAGAGAAATGCAAATCAAAACCACAATAAGACACCATCTCACACCAGTCAGAATGGCTATCATTAAAAAGTTAAAAAATAATAGATGCTAGCAGGACTGTGGAGAAAAGGGAACACATACACTCTTGGTGGGAATGTTAATTAGTTCATCCACTGTGGAAAGCAGGTTAGAGATTTCTCAAAGAACTAGAAATAGAACTACTGTTCAAACCATCCAACCCACTAATGGATATATACCCCCTCCCCCAAAATAAATTGTTCTAACAAAAAGACAAATACACCCATATGTTCATTGCAGCACTATTCACAGTAGCAAAGACATGGATTCAATAACTTAGGTGTCCCTCAATGGTGGATTAAATAAAGAAAATGTGACACATATGCATAATGAAATACTACACAGCCATAAAAAAGAACAAAATCATGTCCTTTGCAGCAATGTGGATACAACTGGAAGCCATTATCCCAAGTGAGCTAACACAGAAACAGAAATTCAAATATGTATTCTCACTTGTAAGTGGGAGCTGAACACAAGGTATTCATGGATATAAAGATATGAACATTAGACAGGGGACTACAAGCGGGGGTGAAGTAGAAAGGGGAGGAAGGGTTGAAAAACTACCTATTGATTACTGTGCTTACTACCTGGGTAATGGGTTTGATCACACCCCAAACCTCAGCATCGCACAATATATACATGTAACAAAAATGCACATGTGCCCTTTGAATCTAAAATAAAGGTAGAAATTTTTTCAAGTCTACTTAATATTATTTTATAACGTAAAATATAACTATAGATACAAAAATTTCAATCGAGTTCAAAGATAATTTGGAATAATCTTACCTAATTCATCTATTAAAAAAACATTCTTTTAATACCAGAACTGCATTTTATGAGCATTATTTTAGGTCTGTTGACAAAATGTTTGCTGGCATTTCTGTGACAGGGAGGAATAGAAAAGATACTTCTCAGCTTTTTGGAGTTATCCCTTCTCACGTTTACAGTGATCACAATAATTCTACTTTTTATACAAGACTGCTATGAAATTTCTTTTGGCGTTTTTGTCATGAAGTCTTAGCACACGCCTATGTCCTATATGGTATTGCTTAGGTTTTCTTCTAAGATTTTTATGGTTTAAGGTTTTATATTTAACTCTTTAGTCCATCTTGAGTTAATGTTCGTATAAGGTGTAAGGAAGGGGTCCGGTTTCAGTTTCCTGCATATGTCTGGCCAGTTTTCCCAGCATCATTTACTGTATAGGAGATATTTTCCCTATTGCTTGTTTTTGTCAGATTTGTCGAAGATCAGATGGTTGCAGATGTGTGGTGTTATTTCTGAGGTCTCTGTTCTGCTCCGTTGCTCTATATGTTTTGGTACCAGCACCCTGCTGTTTTGGTTACTATAGGTTTGTAGTATACTTTGAAGTCAGGTAATGTGATGCCTCTAGCTTTGTTCTTTTTGCTTAGGATTCTCTTGGCTATATGGGGTCTTCTTTGATTTCATATGCAATTTAAAATAGTTTTTTTCTAATTTTGTGAAGAATGTCAATGGTAGTTTGATGGGAATAGCATTGAATCTACAAATTACTTTGGGCAATATGGCGATTTTCATGATATTGATTCTTCCTATCCATGAGGATGGAATGTTTTTTCATTTGTTTGTGTCCTCTCTTATTTTCTTGAGCAGTGGTTTTTAGTTCTCCTTAAAGAGGTCCTTCACATCCCTTGTTAGCTGTATACCTAGGTATTTTATTCCCTTTGGAGCAATCATGAATGGGAGTTCATTCATGGCTCTCTCCTTGCCTATTGTTGGTGTAAAGGAATGCTTGTGATGTTTGCATATCGATTTTGTATCCTGAGAGTTTGCTGAAGTTGCTTACCAGCTTAAGGAAATTTTGGGCTTAGATGATGGGGTTTTCTAAATGTAAAATCATGTCATCTGCAAACAGAGACAACTTCAGTTCCACTCTTCCTATCTGAATACCTTTTATTTCTTTCTCTTGCCTGATTGCCCTGGCCAGAACTTCCAATACTATTTTGAATAGGAGTGGTGAGAGAGGGCATCGTTGTCTTGTATTAGTTTTCAAAGGAAATACTTCCAGCTTTTGCTCATTCAATATGATATTGGATGTGGGTTTGTCATGAATAGCTCTTATTATTTTGATATATGTTCCATCAATACCTAGTTTATTGAGAGTTTTTAACATGAACGGATGTTAAATTTTATCAAAGGCCTTTTCTCCATCTATTGAGATAATCATGTGGTGTTTCTCTTTGGTTCTGTTTATGTGATGGATTACATTTATTGATTTGCATATGTTGAACCAGCCTTGAATCCCAGGGATGAAGCTAACTTGATTTGGGTGAGTAAGTTTTTTGATGTGCTGCTGGATTGTTTCTCAGTATTTTACTGAGGATTTTCTCATTGATGTTCATCAGGGATATCGGCCTGAAGATTTTTTTGTTGTTGTGTCTCTTCCTGGTTTTGGTATCAGGATGATGCCGGCTTCATAAAATGAGTTAGGGAGGAGTCCCTTCTTTTCAATTGTTTGGAATAGTTTCAGAAGGAATGGTACCAGCCCCTTTTTATATTTCTGGTAGAATTCAGCTGTGAATCTATCTGGTCCTGGGATTTTTTTTTTTTTTTATTGGTAGGCTATTAGTTACTGACTCAATTTCAGAACTTGTTTTTGGTCTATTCAGGGACTTAACTTATTCCTGGCTTAGTCGTAGTAGGGTGTATACATCCAGGAATTTATCCATTTCTTTTAGATTTTCTAGTTTACTTGCATGGAGGTGTTTATAGTATTCTCTGATGGTAGTTTGTATTTCTGTGGGGACAGTGGTGATATCTCCTTTATCATTTTTTATTATATCTATTTGATTCTTCTCTCTCTTCTTTATTAGTCTAGCTAACAGTCCATTTATTTTGTTAATTTTTTTCAAAAAAAACAGCTCCTGGATTCACTGATTTTTTGGAGGGTTTTCATGCCCCTATCTCCTTCAGTTCTTCTCTGATCTTAGTTATTTCTTGTCTTCTGCTAGCTTCTGGATTAGTTTGTTCTTGCCTCTTTAGTTCTTTAAATTGTGATGTTAAGGTGTCGATTTGAGACCTTTCTAGCTTTCTGATATGTGAATTTAGTGCTATAAATTTCCCTCTTAACACTGCTTTAGCTGTGTCCCAGAGATTCTGGTGTGTTGTCTCATGGTTCTCATTGGTTTCAAATAACTTCTTGATTTCTGCCTTAATTTCATTATTTACCCAGGAGTCATTCAGGAGCAGGTTGCATGAAATTGAAATTGCATGATTTTGAGTGAGTTTTTAAATTCTGAGTTCTAATTTGATTGCAGTAGATGCTGGCAAGGCCCCAGAGAAATAGGAACACATTTACACTGTCGATGGGAATGTAAATTGGTTCAACCATTGTGGAAAACAGTGTGGGAATTCCTCAAGGATCTAGAATTAGAAATACCAGTTGACCCAGCAATCTCATTACTGGATATATACCCAAAGGACTATAAATCATTCTAGTATAAAGACACATGCACATGTATGTTAATTGCAGCACTATTTACAATAGCAAAGACATGGAACCAACCCAAATGCCTATCAATAATAGACTAAATTAAGAAAATGTGGTACATATACACCATGGAGTAGTATGCAGCCATAAAAAGGAATGAGATCATGTCCTTTGCAGGGACATGGATGAAGCTGAAAGCCATCATCCTCAGCAAACTAACACAGGAACAGAAAACCAAATACCACGTTCTCACTCATAAGTGGGAGTTGAACATTGAGAACACATGGACACAGAGAGGGAAAAAACACACACCAGGGCCTGTTGGGGGGTGGGGAGGGAACTTAGAAGACAGGTCAATAGGTGCAGCAAACCACCATGGCACAACCCTGCACGTTTTGCACATGTATCCCTTTTTTTTGTTTGTTTGTTTCTCTGTATTTTTTTAGAAGAAATAAAGAAAAAAAAGAGTACTATGAAAATAATTGGTTCACTATGAATGTATTTATAAATGTGAGGTTAAATTAATTTTCTAAGCAAGTTAAAATAATGGCACAGAAGGGAATTATTTTAAGCATATAGTAATTGCTGAGCTTTGCAGTTTTTAGTTTTTAATTTTTAGTTAAGCATTTATGTTACAGGGGGTGTGTGGGAGAAAAAAAATCTGTACAATTAAGTTAGAATTGCCCATAAAGGCAAATTAGAATAAAGTAGAAAGACTATGAGCGAGGTGTCCCTGGGTCAGATGAGGAATAAGAGGACACACTTTCATGTTTGACCTTTTATACCTGTGCATTTGTCCATCCATACTACAGACAACAGAATAGACAACAGTTTCACAGAACCGCCACAAACCTGAACAGCATCACAAACCTCCATCGCCTCCTGATATGTGAGGAGCTCTCAACCATATGTTCATTGGCACCATATGTTCATTCAATTCCAGAAAGATTGTTTAGAACTGATCTTCCTATTGAGGCTTCATCTTTTACCAAAACTAGGCGAGCCTGAAAAACAAGTTGTCTGAATTTCCCTCCCTTTTCCAGAAAATTTTGTTTCTGTTTCTTAGTTAGATTAAAATTTTAAGAAATATGCATCATAAAATATTTTTAATAATAAAATAGTTTTCCTCTTGGTTTATTCCAAAAAGGGCAATTTTAATGATTCTTTTCTTGTGCTAATTTCAAGGATGGAAAGGATACAGAAAAAGGATTTTGATTGAACTAATTTACACTCCCACCAACAGTGGAAAAGTGTTCCTATTTCTCCACATCCTCTCCAGCATCTGTTGTTTCCTGACTTTTTAATGACCGCCATTCTACCTGGCATTAGATGGTATTTCACTGTGTTTTTTATTTGCATTTCTCTAATGTCCAGTGATGATGTACTTTTCTTCATATGTTTGTTGGCTGCATAAATTTCTTCTTTTGAGAAGTGTCTGTTCATATCCTTTGCCTACTTTTTGAAGGGGGTGTTTGTTTTTTTCTGGCAAATTTGTTTAAGTTCTTTGTAGATTCTGGATATTAACCCTTTGCCAGATGGATAGATGGCAAACATTTTCTCCCATTCTTTAGGTTGCCTGTTCACTCTGATGATAGCTTCTTTTGCTGTGCAGAGGCTCTTTACTTTAATTAGATTTCATTTGTCAATTTTGGCTTTTATTGCCATTGCTTTTTGTGTTTTAGTCATGAAGTCTTTGCCCACGCCTACATCCTGAATATTATTGCATAGCTTTTCTTCCAGGGTTTTTATGGTTATAGGTCTTAGATTTAAGTCTTTAATCCATCTTGAGTTAATTTTTGTATAAGGTGTAAGGTGATTCCTAAAGGATCAGAAATACCATTTGACCCAGCAATCCCATTACTGGGTATATACCCAAAGGATTATAAATCATTCTACTATAAAGACACTTGCACACCTATGTTTATTGTAGCACTGTTCACAATAGCAAAGACTTGGAACCATCCCAAATGCCCATCAATGATAAACTGGATAAATAAAATGTGACACATTTATACCAGGGAATACTATGCAGCCATAAAAAAGGATGAGTTCATGTCCTTTGCAAGGACATGGATGAAGCTGGAAACCATCATTCGCAGCAAACTAACACAGAAACAGAAAACCAAACACCACATGTTCTCACTCATAAGTGGGGGTTGAACAATGAGAACACATGGACACAGAGTGGGAAAAAACACACACCAGGGCCTGTCTGGGGTTGGGGGCTAGGGGAGGAATAGCATTAGGAGAAATATCTAATGTAGATGACGGGTTGATGGGTGCAGCAAACCACCATGGCACGTGTATACCTATGCAACAAACCTGCATATTCTGCACATGTATCCCAGAACTTAAAGGTATAATTTTTTTAAAAAAAAAAGGATTTTGAAGTTCATAACCCAGGTAAATTTCTACTAATCTAATATATTATGCTTTGATGTTATTACATTTTTAAAAATTTATTTTATGAAATACTTGGTAGGGAAAAAAGCATACAATGAAGATAGTTCTTCTGTCTCATTTTAATATGCATATGAGAATATGATACAATTGTTTTAGATCTTTTTTTATGTTCTATATTCTGACTCCACAGCTCCTGCCTTGTATAGAAAATGCAGCTGTAACCCAGTCCCTGTTGGACAAGGGGTGGAACAGATGGCTTGTGATCCTGTACTGCCTACACATTAGGGAAGCGCCACGGCTTAGATGGAATACTATTTTTTTTAGTACTAACAGTGCTAAAGTGAGAATAAATCATCAATCGGGGGATAGAAGCCACTGAGCCTGCAGTCACGGATATTCTACTGCTGTGCTTGCTGTTTCTCCCATAGGTTTTGAACAAACTGAAGTGTGGCTACTTCCAAAAACCAGTAATTAATCAGAAGAAGGCCTCTCCAATTCCCACTTCGTTCTCAATCCTAGAGCCTAGATGACACATGCTTAAACTCTCCCATGTTACTGACCACAAAATTTCCTGAACAGTTTGATCAGCCATTAAGTTTTCGTGTCTGCATTTTTGAGAGAAAGGGAACTTGACCTGAAATAACTGATCATTTTGTTAACTTCATTCTATTGTGATTTTTTTTCAAAGCCTGTATATCCAGTGCATACTTAATCTATATTAAAAGATTTCAATGTTTTTATGAAAATTAACTTTGGGTTTTGAAAAATATTCATATGATTTTAAAGGCTAAAAGTACATCTCTAAAAATTAATAGAGAATATTAGATATTTTCTAATATTTAATTATGATATTAGAAAATATGTGTGATGTTTTCATGATAGAGTGCCTTCTTTTTAGCCACATGTGCAGGAGCAATATGTGAAAATAGCAGTAAATGTCAGTGTGCGAATAAGTGACATGTGAATTCCAATATACCTTCAAGGTAATAAAGAAAAAATTACTTAATTGTGTGTTCCATTAAGTGTTTCCAACTTACAAGAGAGAACAGAAAAAGTAATATGCTTGTTATGAATATGCAGTCTTGTACATATGGGCCAATGTTTAGAGAGGTATAATATGATGAATAATGTTTTCTTTTTACAATAATTATTTTGAGCTCTCTAGTATAAGTAGTAGTTTCTATAGCGTAATTCACTCTACAACATAATTTGCTTCATTTGTCTATCTCTTCAAATATTTCTCCAACATGAGCTCATCTTACCCCACAATTTCTCAGGATAGAAAAAACAGCAAAATAAACAAAATCTTACCTTTCCAACATACTGAGGATCTGGTCCCATATGTTCTTCTAAAACAAAGAACTGATTCCATACCCATCCCCTTTTGGGACGATGATGGACTTCGGTTTCACCTTCAATGTGTTTGGTTTGGTTTCTCATCACCTTGATGGAGCTGTGGTGAGCAGTTCCATAACACCTCTGCACAAAACAGAGACACACTAGGACTGGACAGATGCAAGATGTGCTAGTAATTTTCATTGTAAGATAACTTTCCAGTTCACAGTTTTCCTTCCTTTCCTTGTCAGCTACGAAAGCTTAGTGAGCATTCAAGAGAGAAGCCAGAGCATCTTTAGGAAGGACAGTCCAAAGTAAATTGTTTAGCGTGTCCATGATTTAACTGTCCATCAGGGAAAGGTCAGATCATATTTACATTCTGAACCACTTGGAAAATCAAAGCCGTAGTTGTCTGATTCCAACTCTTCACAGTAGTTGAACACAAGCAACCATTTTCAACCTAATGGAAAGAGAAAATTATATGTGTTACAAAACACGGTTTTTTTAACTATTTGCTCTGAATACAAATGATACTATTTTGCAATGTGATACTGATAGGCAAAGAACATATGCAAAATCTCTAGGACACATCCACAAACCTATACACCTATATGTCTACATGCATTTTTACATGAACCTTCCTGTCTGTACCATTAATTCTCAATGACAAATATATGTATAATTCTTGTTTTTGTTAGACATAATACAAATTTGTTATATATACTACACATGAATTACCTACTGTATAAGACTCATCAAATTTTGACAAAATATCCCAAGGGCTGAAAAATTGTCACAGACCATAACAGCAATCAAATAGGTACTTAAAGTGCTCAGTAAGTAAAGTGGAAGAAAATAAAAGATCAAAGAAAAAGGTGGCTGAAAACAAAAAGAATGCAACTTAAAATTACTCCAGGTTTGGGGAACAGATTGGTAAAGTTGGGTGTGAGTGACAATGTCAATTGGCTGAATTATAGATTGTGTAAATTTTGATAGGTCCTGCATATCTACCCCGGGTATGAACTTCACACACAGACAAGGCAGATTTTCAAGTTTGGGAATTACATTACTAGGCTTGATTTCTAGTACACATAATTCTAGCAATTATCTAAAGACAGGATTAAAGAAAGAAAAAAATAGCGGTAAATAAACAGAGGAAAAATGTTTTGATTTTTAAAATTAAAAGAAGTTGAAGGCCGGGTGGGGTGGCTCACGCCTGTAATCCCGGCACTTTGGGAGGTCGAGGTGGGCAGATCACAAGGCAAGGAGATCAAGACCATTCTGGCTAGTACAGTGAAACCCGTCTCTAGTAAAAATAAAAAAATAAAAAAAAAAATGAGCCGGGCTTGGTGGCGGTCACCTGTAGTCCCAGCTACTCAGGAGGCTAAGGCAGGAAAATGGCGTGAACCCGGGAGGTGGAGCTTGCAGTAAGCCTAGATCTGAGATCGCACCACTGCACTCCAGCCTGGGAGACAGAGTGGGACTCCGTCTCAAAAAAAAAAAAAGAAAAAAAAAAAAACAACACGTTGAAGACATGAGTGTAGGTTATACTATGATTGGGCAACAAAGTAAAACACGAAAAACATTTCTGAAAAACTAATGACAGGATATGGGAGAGAAAAGAATGACTGAAATTTGGGCTGGGTGCAGTAGCTCACGACTGTAATCCAAGCATTTTGGAAGGCTGAGGCAGGCAGATCACTTGAGGTCAGGAGTTTGAGGCCAGCCTGTCCAACATGGTGAAATCCCATCACTACTAAAAATACAAAACTAGGTGGGCATGGTGGTGCACGCCTGTAATCCCAGCTACTCGAGAGACTGAGGCAGGAGAATCGCTTGAACCCAGGAGATGGGTGTTGCAGTGAGCAGAGATCATGCCATTGTACTCCAGCCTGGGCAACAAGAATGAAACTCTGTCTCAAAAAATACAATAAAATAAAAAGAATGACTGAAATTATAAGCTTATTTAAAGAATATAAATTTTGCATCAAGTTTTGCTGTAGTATTATATATGTGTGCTTGAATATATGTTTAGGAAGATTACATTGATTCACGAATATGGCTATTTCATTTAATAAAAAGTACTAAATAAATCACTTTCTCATTGAATGCAATTCATCCCTGCAAATCAGCACAAACTGAAATGTAGATCTGAATAAATAACAAATTGACATGACAGTATAATTAATTTATAATACTGAATACAAATAATTGGTTACAGCATGATTCTCTTACACAGTTGAGGAAAGATGCTACACAGATTTGGTCACGAAGGAAAAAAGTCACATTAGATTCAAGAGCACGGCATTTTTCTCTGAGTATTTCGCTCCTTAAATGAGGGTTAGTAATAGTGCTTACTTCACCATTGTGCAACAATTGTGTAGGATTAGAGTAATTGGAATTTCACTTTTATCATTTGACAAATATAAAATTTATGTTTTCAAATATTTTCTGAAAGCAAAGGTATCCTTCCCTCTGATTTAAATCAAAACAACTTCAAAACTCTCCTAAAATATAAGAGAGAGCAATACTATTCTAGCTTCAAAATGGCAAGAGCATTGGAAAGAGAGTCAGAAATCACAGGTTTTATTTTTTGATAGTTTACTTACTATATTAATTTATGTGAACCATCTCATGTTTTTCAGTCTCACTGCCCTCATTTATTAAAATTTGTGACTGGAATAACTGTATTTAATATTCTTTCCAGCATTTGTAATAAATTATTTTAATAAATTTATATTAAACTTTTTATTTCCCAAGAGATTCTTAATTTTCAAATCATGAATTTCAAAAAAAAAAAAAGGAAACTTTATCTAGCTTTTCTTCTTAGAAGCCAAGTTGTTGAAGACATAGAAGGTGTTGTTATTTTAATACTTTCACACCATTTGGTGTGATTTTCAAATAAAATTAACATCTTTGCCCTTCATGCTAAGTTGTTTAACAAAGCTTAATTTATGAGTACAAGGTGAAGAAAGTGGCTTTTGCAATGCATTACAGATATGTAAAATGAGTGTTTTCTTTACAATACTGATTGTGAGTCATTCCAAAAATATATAAATGCATTTTGATCTACATATGCTTTATATGTTTGCGAATCTCAATTATGACAATTATGAAAATAGATATATACTGTGCTATGGAATAAAAGAACAAATGTAAACATCACTACAGCGCTTATGGAGATAATTTTATTTACTATATAATAAGAGGACATAACTTCAAATATAAAATTTTTCTGCATTACTGCAAGAAATCCATCTCTGCATAAGTTAGAAAAAATTGAAATGCAAATAATAAGAAAACAAACCAGTGATTGAGACCAATACAATAGAAATATGTGGTAGACATTTTCCATTTTATGACTGAGCAGTGTTCAAAGACCCTTCTGCTTTCATGGAACATTCCAATATGTGAATTCTGATAAACCGAGCCCTGACTTTCACCACTAGTCACTTAGGCACCAATATGGTCTGGCTCTGTGTCCCCACCTATCTCTCATCTTGATTTGTAATCTGAATTGTAATCCCCATTTTGGGAAAGGGACCTCATGGGAGGTGATTGGATCATGGGGGCTGCTCCCCCATGCTGTTCTCTTGATAGTGAGTAAGTTATCACAAGATCTGACGGTTTTATAAGGGGCTCTTCTCCCTTCACTCTGCACTTCTCTCTCCTGATGCCTTGTGAAAAAGAACATGTTTGCTTCCCATTTTGCCATGACTGTAAGTTTCCTGAGGCCTCCCCAGCCATGTGGAACTGTAAGTCAATTAAACCTCTTTGCTTTATAAATTTCCCAGGCTTGGGTATTTCTTTATAGCAGCATGAAAATAAAATAATACAATACATTTTACCAGTAGAGTGGGGTGCTGTTATAAAGATACCCAAAAATGTGGAAGTGACTTTGGAACTAGATAACAGGAAGAAGTAGGAACAGTTTGGAGGGCTCAGAAGAAAATAGGAAGATGTGGGAAAATTTGGAACTTCCTAGACACTTGTTGAACGGTTTTGACCCAAACACTGATAATGGATAATGATGTGGACAACGAAGTCCAGGCTGAGGCAGTCTCAGATAGACATGAGGAATTTTTTAGGAACTGGAGAAAAGGTCACTCTTGCTATGTTTCAGCAAAGAGACTGGTGCCATTTTGTCCGTGTACTAGAGATCTGTGGAACTTTGAACTTGAGAGAGAAGGTCTGGCATTGGAACTTATGTTTAAAAGGGAAGCACAGCATAAAAGTTTGGAAAATTTTCAGCCTGATCGTGTGATAGAAAAGAAAAACTAATTTTATGGAAAGAAATTGAAGCCAGCTTGAGAAATTTGCATAAGTAACAAGAAGCCAAATGTAATTCACCAAGACAATGGAGAAAATGTCTCCAGGGCATGTCAGAGACCTTCATGGCATCCCCTCCCATCTAAGGCCCAGAGTCCTAGGCGGGAAAAAAATGGTTTCCTGGGCCAGGCCCAGTGCCTTGCTGCTTTGTGCAGTCTTGAGACTTGGTACCCTGCGTCTCAGCCATGGGTAAAAGAGACCACGGTACAGCTCAGCTTGTTGCTTCAGAGGGTGCAAGCACCGAGCCTTCCACCAAGTGCTTGGAAGCACCAGGTGGCTTCTACATGGTGTTGGGCTTGCGGGTGCACAGAAGTGAAGAATTGAGGTTTGGGAAACTCCACCTAGATTTCAGAGGATGTATAGGAACACCTGGATGGCTAGCAGAAGTTTATTGCAGGGGTGGAGCCCTCATGGAGAAACTCTGTTAGAGCAGTGCAGAAGGGAAATGTGAGGTCGGACCCCCGACATAGAGTTCCCACTGGGGCACTGCCTAGTGAAGCTGTGAGATGACAGCCACCGTCTTCCAGAAACCAGAATTGTAGATCCACCAACAGCTTGCACTGTGCATCAAAAAAGCTAAAGACACTCAATGCCAGCTGTGAAAGCAGCCAGAGCAGGGGCTTGTATCCTAAAAAGCCACAGGAGTGGAGCTACCCTAGGCCATGGGAGCCCAACCTTTGCATCTGTGTGCCCTGCATGTGAGACATGGAGTAAAAGGAAATTATTTTGGAGCTTTAAGATTTAATGACTGTCCCGCTAGATTTTGGACCTGCATGGGGCCTGTAGCCCCTTTGTTTTGGCCAATTTCTCCCATTGGAGAAGAATTCAAAGATTGATTCTTATTCAAAACTATTCCCATTTCAGGGAGCATTTATCCAATGACTCTATCCCCATTGTATCTATGAAAGAACTAACTTGCTTTTGATTTTATAGGCTCCTAGGTGGGAGTGACTTGCCTTGTCTCAGATGAGACTTTGGACTTGGACATTTGAGTTAATTCTGGGAAGAATTAAGATTTTTCAGGGACTGTAGGGAAGGTACAATCGTGCTTTGAAATGTGAAAAAGACAAGATTTGCAAGGGGTCAGGAGTGGAATAATATGGTCTGGCTCTGTGTCCTCACCCAAATCTCATCTTGAATTCTAATCCGAATTGCTATCCCCATTTTGGGGGAGGGACCTCATAGAAGGTGACTAGATCCTGGGGACTAGTCCCCCATGCTCTTCTCATGATAATGAGTTGTCATGAGATCTGATGATTTTATAAGGGGCTCTTTCCCCTTTGTTCTGCAATTCTCTCTCCTGTAGACTTGTGAAAAAGGGCATGTTTGTTTCTCCTTCCACCAATATTGTAAGTTTCCTGAGGCCTCCTTAGCTTTGCGGAACTGTGAGTCAATTAAATCTCTCTCTTCTATAAATTACCCAGTCTTGAGAGTGTTTCTTTATAGCAGTGTGAAAATGGACTAATACAGGAACCAAATACTTTCTTTCTATATCCTTTCATCAGAAATTTCATCAGTGACAGAGGCACATAAATGATATGCTCAAATGATGGAAAGATGTAGGAACAGTTGAGAAATTTTCCACAGCAGTGGCAATTATTTCAAGACCCAAGTATAGTGATGGTGAGCTCTGCAGATATGACAGACAGAATCCAGTGGCATAAATTAAAAGGGTTCTAGCTATGTTGTTCTAGTGGCAAGTACTTGATATAATTTCTAGCTGTCTAAATTCCATTGTTTCCTACTTCTCCCTAAACCTGATTTGTAAACACCCTCATCAATTCAATGGCTATCCAACACAGTTCAAACAAATTTATTTGTTGCTTTTTATGCCCAGAATTGACTTCTGGTGTTTGAAACATTTTAAAATTATACATATACTGTACATTACATGAATAAAAACCACTAGCCCTTACTAAGAAGACATGCACAGTGTTAAATATTACCAAGATGTTAATGAATATTGTCTCTTAAACATTTTCAGCTTCTTTTAAAAAATATATATCCAAATTATAGTTGTTAAGATAGTTTCTTTGTATCCAGTTCATGGAATAATTCAAAGAATTAAAAAAAAATAACAAATAAACATAAATGATTCTGTTTCCTTGTTGGTTGACCCCAGGATATTTCCTAATTTCTCTTGACTTTTTTCTTTGACCCATTGGTTGTTCAAGAATGTGCAGTTTAATTTCTACATATTTACAAATGTTCTGTTTTTATTTCGCTATTTATTTCTACCTAACTTCCATTGTATTTGGAAAAGACACCAGCTATCATTTTACACTTCTTGAATTTGTAGACTTGTTTTGTGGCCCAACACGTGATCTATCCTGGAAAATGGTTCATTTCTACTAGAGAAGAATGTGTGTTTTGATGCAGTTGGGTGTAATGTTCCATATATGTCTGTTAAAGCCATTTGGTTCATAGTGTTGTTCAAGTTCTCTGTTTCTTTATTGATTTTCTGTCTGCATGTTCTACACATTATTGAAAGTTTAGTATTGACAATTTCTACTATTATTGTATTATTCTCTATTCAGTTCTGTCAATATTTGTTTTATATATCTAGGTGCTCTGATGTTGGGTGCATATATATTTATAATTGTTTTTTTTCTGCTGAGTTAATACATTTATAATTATATAATGCCCTTATTTGTCTCTTCCTACAGTTTTTAACTGAAAGAATATTGTGTATGATATAAGTATAGCTTTCCTTTGCTCTCTTTCGCTTAACATTTGCATGGAATATATATATATGTATTATCCTTTCTCTCTCAACTGATTTGTGTCCAGAAATCTAAAGTGAGTCTATTGTAGAAAGCATATAATGTGAGCTTATTTTTATTCATTCAGCCACTATTTTTTGATTTGGAAATTTAATCCATTTATATTTAAAGTAATAATTGAGAGGGAAGAAATTTCTATTGCCATTTTGTTATTGTTTTCTGTCTATCTTGTAGCTATTTTTATCCCTGTTTTCCTCTCTTGCTACCTTGCTTTGTGTTTTTTTAAATTTCTTTTAATTACATTCTTTGACTTCTTTCTCCTTTTTATTCATGTGTCTTCCACAGTATCATTTTTTGTGCATACAATGGGACTTACAGAAACCTTCTTATAGTTATAACAATCTATTTTAAGCTGATAACAAATTATATTCAATTAAATATAAAAACTCTACACTTTTACTTCACCCACACTAACATGCTTTATGTTACTGATGTCACAAATACATTTTTATGTTGTGTACCAATTAATATATTTGTTATTTTTATACTTTTGTCTTTTACCTTCATACCAGAATTTAAAGTGATTTACACAACACTGTTACATCATTCCAGCATTCTGTTTTTGCCTATATATTTACCTTTACTATCAAGCTTAATACAGTTGACCCTTGAACAGCATAGATTTTTAACTATAAAGTTCTATTTATTAGTGGACGTTTTTCAGCCCATTGTGGAGCTAAAATATTCAGGGGATGTGAAACCCATATATAGGGAGGGCCATCTTTCATATATGTGGGTTCCACATGACCAACTGCTGGACTTGATTACATGCAGATTTTGGTATAAACAGGGGTCCTGAAACTGAACTTCCATATATACTGAGGGGTAGCTGTACTTTCATATATTTTCAAATTGCTGTTTAGCATGTTTTCACTTCAAATAAAAGACTCCTTTTGGAATCTTTTGTAAGACAGGTCTTGTGGTAATGAACTCCCTCAGTATTTAGTCTATGAAAATCTTCATCTCTTTACTTTTGAAGGTCAGACTTGCTGGATATAATATTTTTTGTCGGCAAGATTTTTTTTCTTTTTCTTTTACCTTTAGCACTTTTAATATATTATCCTGTCACTTCTGGCCTTTATGATTTCTGCTTAGAAATCTGTTCATAGTCTTGTGGAAGTTCTCTTTCATGTGATGAGTCACTTTTCTTTTGTTTCTTTCCAAATTCTCTTATCTTTGACTTTTAGTAGTTTGATTGTAATGTATCTTAGCAAGTTTTGTGTTTAAACTATTTCAAATTCATTGGGCTACTTGCATCTATTATAGCTATTCCCTTTCCAATGTTTTGGAAGTTTTCTGCCATCATTTCTTTAAGTAAACTCATTGATCTTTTCTCAATTTCTTATTTTTATTGGAATCTCACAATGTGCATACTGATCTACTTGATGTTGTTCCATATTTTTTTCCTTCAGTGTTTTATATTCTCTCCATAGACTGAATAATTTCAAATGGCCTGTCTTTAAGTTATCTGATTCTTCATTCTTGTTCAAATCTGCTATAGAACTTTTGCACTAAAATTTTCAGTTTAGTTGTATTATTCAGATCCCAAACTCTTGCTTCTTTTTATATATTTAATCTCTTTGTTGATATTCTTATTTTGTTTATGCATTGTTTTACTGAGCTTCTTGACATTTTTAAGATGGTTATTTTGAATTCTTTGTTATATATTTCATATACTTCCATTTTTAGGGTTAGTATCTAGAGATTTATATGCCTCTTTTGATTGAGCCCTGTTTTCCTGTTTGTTCATTTTCCTTTTACCTTTGTGTTGGTATCTGCGTATTTGAAAGTCAGCCACCTCTTCCAGTCTTTACAAAATGGTTTCCTACAGAGAAAGACTTTCTCCAACTAAACTAAGATTCCGCAGATCACTCAAACTTTCTCTGTAGACATGTCTTTTGACTTATGTGTGTATATTCCTAATTAGAGGAATCTTCTGATTTCCCTTTTTTGAGATCTCATAATTTCTTGCTCTTTCTGGTGTCTATATGGTGTACCGCACATCCGCTGAAGAACCAGCACAATGCTTGACTCTCTTTTGTTCTCATTGGCTCCCATGCATCCAGATTATGGTGGGCCCATCAGTGCTTTCACTGGGCTATACAAAAGGCAGACCCTTAGGCAGCCCCTTGATAAGGGTAGAATATTTGACATACTCTTTACTCTTCTCTTTATCCCTTGAGGCAGAGGCCACTGAGTTGTATCAGCCTCTGTCTTCTGTGGCACAAGTCTTCTGGAGCAGGCAGGAAACTGCCTGGTTATTTAATTTTCTCATGAGCCATTAGGCATGAAGAGTACATCCAATTCCATCAGTGCTCTGAAACAAGTGAGACAAAAATCAGTCTCTCAGGTAGCTTCCATGACAAGCTAGAATGTTGGACACATGGTCCAATATCTCTCCTTCCTTAATAGGTGTGAAACCAGGAGGTTACAGTTTCCTACAGACCACATGATGCTTTACCAGGGCGAGGTATTATGATGAGAGGGTGCCACACTTTCCTATCAGCTTAGATTCAGTTAGTTTCACACTCACCTGATATGGAGGAGGAGCCTCTTAATCAGTTTCTAAATTTATCTGAAAGAGAATTGGTCCATGTATTGTTGAAATAATGTCTCCATGGGATGTAAGAAGAGCCTGGGGCTTTCTATTCTACCATATTGTTAATATAACTCAGGATAATGGATTTCATGCTAATTGAAATAGGAAGACACTGCAGTGGGTTGAGAAGTGTATAACATAAAATGATTTTAAAAGTCATTCTAGCTTCCATGAGGAGAATGCAATATAGGGCACCAAGAAGATTAAAAGAGGTAATGTAGGACTGGTTTGAGGACTACTGCAGAAGTGCAGGTGAGAAATGATGGTAGTGAAGACAAAGATGATAGCATATAAAATGCTATACATATATATCATATAAAATGCTATATATATAGATGATAGCATATAAAATGCTATATATAGCATTTTATATAGGCTATATTATATACATATATGTATATAATGTGTATATATACATTTTATATGGGCTATATTATATATATGTGTATATATACACACACACACATATATATGTATATAATATAGCCTATATAAAAGCTAAGGCTATGTGTTAAATTTTATGATAGATGGATTAAAAGAAGAATACAACTCACAAAGTCTCAGAAAAGGTAGGAAGTAACAAATAAATCTACTATTTACAAATAAATAGCTCTGTCTTCAAATTTAGTAAATGTTTGCTATTCATAATGGATTTGAAAGGAAATGTGGAGCTTGCAGCCAATTAAACTAGTCTCAGCTCAGTGGAATGGTCAGGACTGAAGGTATTGGCATGAGAGTCAGCAGGATACCTTGCAAAGTTAAATTCATGGAGTAACAAGATCATGTTGGCAGAGATTAACGTAGAGAAGAGTATAGGGCATAGGGCACAGTTCTGGGCATTAAACATCTAGAGTTAATAGTAGAGGATCAGGAGGCTATAAATAAAAAGAAGAAATGTGCAGTGAATGGGGTTCGGAAAGATGGGGTAGCATAGAAGCCTAGAGAACAATGTGTTTTAAGGAGGAAAGAATTGAACCACCAATTAAATCAATATATTTATTCATACAATACCCAGATGCCATAAATGTACGCTTTGTGTTGAATTTGTTAATATTTATGTACCAATGAAGTATACAAATTAGCATTTCAAACATATATATATAAACATATATATACACGCATATATATATAAACATATATATACACGCATATATATATAAACATATATATATACACGCATATATATATAAACATATATATATACACGCATATATATATAAACATATATATATACACGCATATATATAAACATATATATACACGCATATATATAAACATATATATATATATGAACATATATATACACGCATACACACACACACACAGAGGCACTCTATATTCCATATACTCCACTAGATGCTTAAAACCATTATCTTATTACAGTTGTTTTATGACCATTTTTGAGTTGAAGATACTAAGATATAGCATTGAAGTCATTTGTCTCAGATGAAATTTGAGTACAGTTCTGTCTTAGTCCAGCATCTTTTTCTAACACAGGATTTAAATTGACATGGATTTGAATCATGATGCTTTTGTAACCTTGTGTCATGGCCTTTGAGACATAAGTTAATATCAAAAAATTTCAGTTCCCTGAGTGCTGAATGAATATGACAACAGTATTTAAGTCATAGATAGAATTATATGAAGTGAAAGAAGATAAAAGACTGATAAATCTTCCTGATTAATAATAAGTCCTTAAAATGTATGTAATATTTTTGTTATATAGATACACCATTTCAGCATTCGACTCATATTTATTTTTATTACATGGCACTTTTTGTCCCATTCGTAAAATGTAAAGATAAAAATGAGGCACGAAATTTAATACCTTTTATTAAAACTAGTATACAATCTTAAAATTATAAAGTAAATGTATGCATGATTACAATCAACTACAAATAATGTTTAGGGTAGATGTGATTTTTATTTCTACCACATTATCATTATCTTTCCACCAGCTTAGAAAAATCAAAGTCATGCATATTCAAATGTCTTCTAATAGCCTCAATGAGATAAGAAGCTTACAGTTTAAATGAGTCTGATTCTCCTGTCCTTGCAAACTAGGATAAACTCTAGGAACAACTTCCATATAGTGAAGTTTCTTATATGACCGATAAATTGTATTTTGATAAATTGATCTGTGGCAAACAGAAAGAAAGTAGGGAGATTGTAGAGGACCTTAGTCATCTATTTTGCTTTCAGTCTCCCAGAGCTATAAAAGGAAAATTAACCCTAATTGTTTAAGGTGTTACTAAATTTTGAGATATTAATAGAATGATATACATAAACTAATTTTCTGAGGTGGCTTAGAAAAGTAACAGGTTTTTACTTTTACTATCTGAGAACTCATTGAGATTTTATTTGCAACGTGCTGTACATATATCCAGTTCTTACATCATCCTGTTTATGCTACTTTATAGCTTTTAACAATTAGGGAACAAATAAGGCAACATATTTGCATAACATAGTCATTCAAAAGACTGAATATATCACCTGGTTGCAAAAAGGTCCTGGTGGATATTCCAATGAATTTTTATTGGGTATTAAGGTATAACTTTGTTGAATATTAGTGAAAAGTAATAATAAGACTCACAAAAACAACAAAACAGTATAATGTCCTCGAGAGTATTATTAGATAATTTGAAGATCCATTTACACGGGGAATTTGCCATGTTGTTAATATAACTGCTGCACTGTGGTCCTATAAAAATAAAGGCTTTCCAGCTGATATAACTTTGTCGGGAATATTTAGAAGGTTTTTATATCGGCTTTTCCAGAGACTTAAAAGTATATTCTCTAGGTCTATATTTTTGTTCTTAAAATATTTATTATTATGTTTCTATTATTTGCTCTTATTATAAAAAATTTACCAGTTTATGTAATAAAATAAAAAATAAATAACAATAAAATTGAATATAAAAAGAAAAGCCAAAAAAAAAACAAACCCAAAAAACCCAAAATTCCCTTCTTCCCTTCTACCTTCCAAATGAATATGCATATATAGTCCTGGAGGTAAATAAATAAAATAATTAACAGTTGTATCAACAAGCAGAGTAAATGAAAGAAGAAAACTAAACTGATCATTCTTTACACTGAGTCATATTAATACTATCTAACAGTTTTTTGCCACAATTATAAATGCATTTTATGTCTCTTGTATACTTAACTTATTTTTTACTACCACATACCACATATTGTATGAATGTAAAATAATTTAATATTCAATATCTTACTGGGGAATATATATGTGTGTGTGTATGTGTGTGTGTGTGTGTATATATATATTCCCCTTGAAAAGCGTATATAGTGTCAAGTAGACAATAATCTCTTTTGGTTCAAAAGATTAACTTAAAATCTGTGTGTTTAAACTCCAGAGAAAGCCAGCCTTTTAGTTCATTAGCTGATAAAATAGAGTTTTCTATGTTACACAAGAAACAAAGGAAATGTATGTATAGAATGTGTTTCTAATAGCATTGTTTTGTGTACGTGGATAATTAAATGCATCTCAGAAAAGGTCAAATAGGAATAAAATGGATTATTTGCAATATCTCACTTGTATCATGTCAACTTCATAAATTACCAAAATAGAAGAAAAATTATTCATTACACAATTTGTCCTTCCTGGAGAGACTATCTGGATTGACCAGGTGGTAGATTAACCAGGTAGTAACCAGGACTTTGGGGTCAAGCTGATTTCTGTTTCAGTTTTGGTTCACCACTCATTATTAGTTGACTGGTGTTACCTAAGCAAGTCAAACTTCTGCCAGACTCTTGAGTTCTCATGCTGGAAAAGAGCATAATGACAACTGCTCAGTATGAATAACTAAATTGTTACATGAGATATCTCCAAGAGCCTAGCCTGCATCAGTCTCTGAAGTGTACTTAGTAATAATATTATTATTAGCATCATCAGTAAACAGTAACCGTTCTCATTGTTTACTTTTGGGGAGGGCACCCAGACATTTGTGAAGCATTCGCTTGTAGGTCTGGGCCATGAGGATTTATATGTGTGCATGTACATCCAAAGAGAAAGTCATGAGGTTTCTAAAGTCCTTCTTAGGTTTCTAAAGTTCAATAGCTTTATTGAAACTCTTACTAAATATTCTCTACTTTTCATTATCTGGATAGTATAAGCCATGGCATACCATGATGTCACTGTTTTGGTGATAAATTAGGGAGGCTGCAAATATTCCCTTTTTATTTTCTCACTGAAAACTTATTGAGTTGTCCTGTTCACTTTTACGAAAACCCATACTCTACCTACACATCCTCCAATAACTGATTTTTAAAAGTGAGAATTCGAATACTGGTTTCTAGGAATCCATTTGGCCAAACAGAACACATGTATTCTTCCTATATAATCCAGAGCAACCGGTGGCCTTCAGGAGTATTGAAAACTGCACTTATAAATGGAATTATCCCAGAAACATCTGGTATGAAATTGGATGTGTACATCAGCATTACTTCCATATCCCACTGAATTTTACTAAAAAGCAATGAGTACAAGATTGTGAAAAATAAAGAATAAAAAAAATACTTGCAATGCCTCCTCCAGTAAAACTGTGAGAGGCATGTGCATTAGTCTTTTGGGGATGTCATAACAAAACACCATAGTGTAGGTGGCTTAAATAACAGAAATGTATTTTCTCACTGTTCTGGAGACTAAAAGTCCCATATCAAGGTTCTGGCTGACTTGATTTCTGATAAGGTCTCTCTTCCTTGCTTGCAGATGGCCACTTGTTCCCTATGCCCCACATGGCCTTTCCTCAATGTATGTTCTCGGGCAGAGACAGAGGAAGCTCTCTGCTGTATCTCTATTAAGGACACCAATGCTATTAGAGCAGACTGATCTTATGACTTCATTTAACCATAATTACTTGCTTAGAGGCCCCCATTCCAAGTACAGCCACCCTGGGGGTTCAGCCTTGGGCATATACATTTGTGGAAAACACAAACACTCAGTCCATAATGAGACGTATTCTTACAATCTAAGTTACATGTAAGGGCTTCCAAAAGCTACAGAAATTAACCACAGTAGTTTTTATTGTGCCACATGGAACAAAATGAGGGCAAGAAACCACTGAAAGGGACTTCAGAAGCAACTGAAGTTATTAGGAGTAAATCACAGCAAAAATACACTTTCTAAAGGTGAGAGTGCATGCTCAGGTCTGAAACCTGTGTGCAGTTGGAAATTAGGTGAGTGGAGGAGATATAAGTTTTGCTGCAAACCTTTCTGGACCTAGCTAGTATCGTTCACCAGAGGAGGCAAGATTGCACCCACAATAACACAAACACAGCAGCTTCACTGAAAGCAATCTCTCTCTGACAAGACAGAAAATGCTTACATTGTGTAAACCAACTGATCTGGACAACTATAAATATATGAGGGTGGATCGTGGGAGAACTCCTTTTTTAGCCTATGAAATCATAAAAGAAAAGATTGTTAAAAACCACTTCATAAAAACGGAAAATGTCTACGTGGCACAAATGTGATAAGCAAAGTAGGCAAAGTGCTGAAGAATGCCACCCTACAAAATCTGGCAGTGTCCACCCAACAACTCACAGAGAAGACATGCAGGGCTTTTAAACATATCACAAATACCATCAACTTTACTCATGAGACATGGACATTAGGATAATTTTGGAAGGGCTTTTAAACATATTCATGAATACCATCAACCTTACTCATGAGACATGGATGTTAGGATAATTTTGGCATTCCATTTCTCACTCAACAGATTATAAAAAATCTAAAGGTCTGATATCTGATTTGGCAAGACTGTGACCAGAGGTGTGAACCCTTACACGGGGCTTATAGTTATATACAACAGGCCAATCATTTTGAGGGAAATCTGTCTATTTCTATCAAAATTTCAAACTTTATATTTGATGACTAATAAATTCTACTTCTAGGAATCTGATCTACAGATTGCTAAAATATATAATTTCAGTAGAAAACAAGAATAAAAGGTGGTCAGCATGTTCTTTTCATGTCTCATGAAGAACAATTTTTATAATATTTAATCATACTCATGGAAAATGACATATGTAGCTATTAATGTAATACTTAGCACTATGTAAAATGGAAATGTTATGGTACCATAAAAGTTCACCTGTTAACATTTACAGACGACTAGTAAAAAGGATTACAGTGGGTCCATGTAATAGAATACTAGGCAGCTCCTTATGAATATGGAATGAGCTCCAAGACATTGTTTAAAGATAACAAGTTTCCTAGGAGTGTATAGTAGGCTACTATTTTTATTTATTTATTTTAACTTTTTAATTTTTTTAGCACCCTAATGTGCTACTTAATACTAGATCGTATTCATTCTATCTAACTGTATTTTTGTATCCATTAACCATTCCCCCTTTATCCCCCTCCCCCCACTATCCTTTCCAGCCTCTGATAACCATCATGCTACTCCCTATCTCCATGAGTTCAGTTTTGTTTTTTTTTTTCTAGTTCCCTAAATAAATGAGAACATGAATATTTGTCTGTCTATGCCTGGCTATTACAACTAACATAATGTCCTCCAGGTCCTCCAGTCCCACTCATGCTGTTGCAAATGACAAGATTTCATTCTTTTTTATGGCTAAGTAATAACCGATATTGACTAGGTGTGTCCTAGGACTGAACGTACCATTCATTGAATCTCTGCATTGTTCCCCGAACTTTATTTCTTATCTCTCTTTCATCTTGTTCCCCTGCTCTTCTGTTTCCTATGTGTTTATAAGAAGATGATTTAAAATGAATCACCTTTCGGGTACCAATGATTCACAGACTTTCAGAGCTGGGAAAGACTGCAAGGCCCATCTAGTGGGCTACTATTTTTAAATGAGATAAAATAGCCATTTATATCTCCTTCTTTATGCATAACCATTTTCAAAAGAATATATGATAAATTTATAGTATCTTTGATTTGGGGGTGGATGAAAATCAGGGAGAGTGCATTGGATAGGAAGGAGCCTTTTCTCTGTGTACATTTTATTTTATTTTTTTTCTTGTTTTAAGCAATACATTTTTATTATCTATAAAAAATCAACAAATTTGGAATAAAAAGACTGTTTGGCACCTCCCCATCCCTCTGCTCACTCATCCATGTGTGTAAATAATTCTGAACAAATGACAGAAAATGGAGCAGCTGGTGCTTGAGGTGGTGAGAAGCTCCCAGCTGTGCTTGATCCTCAAAATGCAATATGTTTTCCAGTAGTAATGGTTTAATAATTATTACCCTTTTTAGCTACAACAGATAAAATTGCATGTTGATTTAATGCCACTAAAACAAATAAGAGCTTATCAACTATTATGTAGATTAAGAAGTTACTATATTTGGAAAGTCAGACTTGAAACAAAGGGAAAAAGACTATCTTTTTCAAAATAACTCATTTAAGATATTTTCAAGGTGGTTTTTAGAAAAAGGGAAGGATTTGGAAGAAAATGGCAGAAAAGACAGTTATTATTTTCTCTATTGAGAGAAATTCCATGTGGTTAGTTAAAGCCAAGGGAATGCTCACAGCAAAAGACTTCTCCTAATAATTATCTAGAGCTTCTACTTTGTTTCAATAAACACGTTAAGTGAAATCATCACATTTCTCAAAAGAAAGAGCAATAAAAAGTAACTTGAGTCAGCGTGCATGCTTTGGAACTGTGCTACTTACATTTTGGCAAGCAGCATCAGCTTCAGCTGAGAGCTGATTGGAAATGCAAATTCCCAGGCTCGATTCAAGACCTACTAAAACTTTGAAGATAGGGCTAGGTGTCTGTGTTTTTCCAAGTTCTACAGTTGATTATGGTACTAATGTTTATAATGTACTGCCCTAAAATTTTATACACCCAAGATGACAGTGTACCCTACCTGTTTTGATGAAAAATTATGAGCAATATTCCATCAAGAGAATATAAAAGACTGGGCAGATGTACAAATTTGCATTCTAATTTCTAATGATGATGGATTACACATCTTTCCAATATTAGATATCCTTGACTTACTCTGGCTTCAATGTTGCAGTAATGGATAAAAAGATTTGTAAAGTATCACTGTTATATGTTGAAGTCTAAATCTCCAGTACCTCCGAATGTGAACGGGTTTAAAAATAAAGTCTTCAAAGAGGTTATCAAGTTAAAATGAGGCTGCTAGCATGAGCCCTACTTCAATCTGATGAGTGTTATAAAAAGAAGGTATTTGTTTTTCTATGTAAAGAGGCAGCAAAAAAAAAAATAAAAATCTGCAAGCCAAGTAGAGAAATTTCGGGAGAAAACTTCTTCGGGACCTTGATCTTGGACTTCCAGCTTCAAGCACTGCGAGAAAATAAATTTCTGTTGTTTCGGCCACCCACTCTTTGGTATTTGTTATGGCAGCCCTAGCAAATGAACACACTCACTGACTCGATTTTTTTTTCTTTCTAAAAGTAATAAAATAGTTCCAAATTAGAAACTTGAGGCAGGTTGGGCAAGATCACTCACGATTGTAATCCCAACACTTTGGAAGGCTGAGGCAGAAGGATCACTTGAGGCCAGGAGTTTGAGACAAGCCAGGGCAACATAGTGAGATCCCATCTCCACAAAAACTTGAAAAGAAAATTAGTGAGGTGTGGTGGTGCATGCCTGCAATCCAGCCACTTGGGACCAAGGCTGAGGCAGGAGGATCACTTGAGCCCAGGACTTTGAGGCTGCAGTGAGCCATGATTGTGCCATTGCACTCCAGCTTGGGCATCAGACAGAGACCCTGTCTCTAAAATAATAAACGAATACTAAAAAAAAAAAAAAAAGTTGAAGCAATGATTTCTGTCACTAGTCACAACTGGAAAGCATACAATTTAAACAGTGTGATTTTGTGTGTGTGAGGCCAATTTACCACTTACAAGAGACGTGACCATAGGCTAGTAAATTGACTTATTTGCATCTTAACTTCTTCAGTATAAATGATGATAAATAGCTGACACAGACTGGATGTTATAATCATTTAAAAAATAATGCCTTTAACACACATAGTACAGTAGTTGAGACACAGACATAACACAGACATACTCAGAAACAGTCATATATATGTCTTGCTTGGTAGAATGTTAACAAAAAAATATAAATCAGACTAGTAGGGAAGTAGCATTCAGGATCAGGTTTTTAAATAACACTGCATTGTGAATCATGACTTTCTTTATGATAAATAAGTATATAAACTGAATATCTGACCAGCTTAACTAAGGTATCAACAACAGAATATATGTTAATAAGGCAATTTCCAAATTCCTCTAAGTGTCTCTTAAGCAAACTTAAGAAATTCAGACTCAGTGCTACATTTTATACCTCAGTTAGATTAGGGAAATAAAAATTCTACATGAAAAATGTTATTTTCTCTGTTAAAGAAAACCACTTTCAAGTCAGAAATTATTTTTAAAATCTTGACCAATTTATTTAAAGAGCATAAATTGACAAATACCTAAAAATCTATCTAATATTAAGTGGTATGATATTTAGGTTAGTATAATAGTCACTTGATTTCCTTGTTTGTGAGAATTCAAAATCTGCAGCAAGTTCACATTATCACTGCAGAATTCTCCTGGCTTATTCATTGCCGATATATGATAATGTTAACTCAAAGCAAA
Source organism: Homo sapiens (assembly GCF_000001405.40). Taxonomy (NCBI): domain Eukaryota; kingdom Metazoa; phylum Chordata; class Mammalia; order Primates; family Hominidae; genus Homo; species Homo sapiens. Next base: position 19,858,100 of record NC_000005.10, read on the forward strand.
GTACATTTTAGGGAAGCATGGACATTTATCAGTACATTTAAGATGTATATTGGTTTGGTCCAGAAAGGCAGGACAACTGGAAATGGGGGCTTCCAGGTCCTAAGCAGATTTAAAGATTTTAATTCACAATTGTTTGAAAGAGTTATTATTTAAAGACCTGGAATCAATAGAAAGAAATGTCTGGGTTAAGATAATGAGTTGGGGATACAGGTTTCACAGCCTTCAGAGCTCTTATCAGACCTAAAAAGTTGCTGGACCCAGTTATTCTCTCCCAGATCAGGAAAAAGACCTGCAAAGGGATGTCTAGGTTTGTCATAAACTATTTTAGGGACTTTTTGATAAATTAAATAATAAATCAAGTTGTGGCTTGATAGCGCCAATATAATTGCAGATCAGGAGCATATAAACGAACTCAGAAATTATGTTTTAGTTTTTTTCCTCATGGGTATTGTATTAGGAATCTCTGGTTATCAGAACTAAGCAGATTTATACAATTAGTAAAGTCTATGCTGTGAGAAAGTGAAGATAAAGTTTGATGAACATTTCAAAATTAATTGGTCCTGTTTTAAGTTATACTATATCAATCCATGGTTCTTACCAAACTGGAAAATGTTCTTGCACTAGAACTCATTTATTTGATCTAAAATGAAATTATTAAAGACAAACAGTGCAAATATTAAAGCAAAAGATTATTGCAATATCACAAAATGCAGAAAAACTCATTTGTTAGATATTACTTTTTTCTATTAATGCTACTTCAAAAAGTATACAATATATTAGACCTATTAAAGCACAATGAGCATACAACTAGGGTTGCCTGATAAAATGTAATGTGTACAGCTAAATTTAAACTGAGCATGAAAAATGAAAAAAAAACTATTTTATTGAGATATTAATTATGTATAAAAAGTGGCTTGTATTTAATGTGTACAATTTGATGAGTTTACAGAAAAGTATATACCCAAAAAAACCATCACCAAAATCAACGCCATTGTAAACCACAAATAAAATTTTAAGCCCCACAACTGACCGATGGATGCTCACCTCAGCCAAGGGCATTCCAAAGTTAACCTGAAAAACTAGTTCAGGCCATGATGGGAAGTAGGGGTGGGACGTGCCTCATTATACTCTCCTCCCTTTGGAATTCAGGCACAGTTGGGTAGCATTAATATTAAAATAGAGATCTTAAGACTGACAAAACAGACTTTTGGTAGCAATAAAACACCAAATTCCAGCTGACCCTAGTATAGCATCAGATGACAAATACCAGGCCCTGAAAGGAATCAAAGTATTTCACCCCCAAATATATTTCTATGACATATTCTGAAATAACCCTGAAAAGCTGTCTCTTGTGGGGAAAATTCACATTCTGTAGAGAATCTCCTTCCCTTTCCAGGTCTTTTTCCTGATCTAGGAGAGAATTAACTAGGTCCAGCAACTTTTTAGGTCTGATAAGAGCTCTGAAGCCTATGAAACCTGTATCCACAACTCATTATCCTAACCCAGACATTTCTTTCTATTGATTCCAGGTCTTCACATAATAACTCTTTCAAACAATTGCCAATCAAAATCTTTAAATCTGCTTAGGACCAGGAAGCCCCCCATTTCCAGTTGTCCTGCCTTTCTGGACCAAACCAATATACATCTTAAACATATTGATAAATGTCCATGTTTCCCTAAAATGTATAAAACCATGCTGTAGCCCAACCACCTTGGGCACATGTTCTCAGGATGCCCTGAGACTGTGTCTTGGGCCATTGGTCATTCACATTTGGTCCAGAATAAACCTCTTCAAATACTTTACAGTGTTTGACTCTTTGTCACACCATAAACATATCCATCACCTCCTAAGGTTTCTTTCTGTCTTATTAATTTACTTGTTTGCTTTGGGTGTGTGTGTGTGTGTGTGTGTGTGTGTGTGTGTTTAAGAGTATTCTTAAGAATAAATGTATCCGATTAGGCATTTCTCACATTTTACTCCTAACTGGAACTTTATAGCAATCTGTTTATGGTCATCCATTGAATAATTTTAAGTGATTCCAACCATTGGCAATTTAAATTCATTTTTTCCTGGAATTGAGAACCCTCAGAATATGACTAAACAGTGAATAGCCTTATTTTTTAATATTCCTCAACCAGACCCTTTGCTCTGTCCATTGCATCCAGTGTTGCTAATATGAGCTGTGATCACTTTGATGATCACATATTTGCTTATGTTTTATCCTTTTCTTATTTTCATTCTACATCTCCAAATCCTTCCAAGTTTATCTCAAACTCATCACTTCTAAATAATCTTCCCTTATTTTTTCTCATTGCCTTCTTTTCTTCTTCTTCTTTTTTTTTTTTCCTATTATGGCACTTTTTGGGAATTTCCATATACTTGCAGATAGTTTTATTTTAGTTCATATCATTTACTTTTTAAAAAAATACCATTTTTATATTGGTCTGACTTGTCCCTCAAATATATAATATACTTTAAGGTACATAGTATATTTATGCTTCAAGGTTCTGTACATGAATTTTTAAGTTGAAAGTTTTTTCAAAGACTTAGACCAATATTTTTCAGTATTAGTGTTACATTAGCTTAAGTTACTTAAACATCCCACTATAATTTATAAATAAATTAACTTCTTAATAATGATAATTACCATTAAACATGATTCTTGCGGAAAGAGATACTGAAAAAAAGTGAACCTAAATACACATAACCGAAAATATTCTTCTGAACATCTTTTATTATACTTAGCATACAATTTAAAAGAAGAAATTGTTTCCTAAATTACTTGTTTCTTTTTCACTCATAATTGTCTCTCTAAATACCTCTAAGTTTGTCTAGTAAATTTTGATGAAAACCAAAAGTTCATTCCATCTGAATGTAGGACTAAGATTTTATTCTATATCTCATGAATGCATGAGTTGAGATAACTAAAATAATAAAGAAAATCATTATTTCATCATTTTTAACAGAAACAAAGTATACTATCTTACAGAACGTTATTAAGTGTTCCCATTGAGGACCTAGATTATTAGCAAGTGAAGGTCTCAGTGCCTCATGCATTTCTGTACAAACTTGCATATTCAGTAGTAGTAATTGCCTCCCATTGGACAGAGAGAATATTTATATAAATTAACTATTGGACTTTAATTTTTCCTTTGGCATCAATTTAGGTGCTGTAAGAGGTACAGATGGGTTTTTTTTTATATCTGGGGACAGAGAACCAGGCTGAGGACAGGAACAGGCAAAAGCCCCAAGTGGTGTACCCAGGAGCCGGGAGGAGGCTAGGCTGGGTATACCAGAGGGGGCTGTGTAAGAAGACAAAGTCCAGAGGTAAGAAGGGGCAAACAGAGAAGGATCCCAATGTGAACTTTGCTTTGGTTTTGTGTGGGATGGATCTGAAGCAGGGAGATGACATCATTTGCTTTTCCTTAGGAAGTCTTTGGATTTTTGTTGAGAATAAAGAGGGACAAAGGCAGAAATGTGGGAAACAATTGACAGAGTAGAGAGAGTGGTACCTTGGACTTGAGATAATGAGAAGGGTCAGATTCTATATATATTCTAAAGGTCAAACTAAGAGAGCTTATTAGTAAATCCAATATGGGGAGTGAAAAAAGAAGATGATTCAAAGATGGCTCCAATAATTGTGAGGTGAACAACTGAAAAAATTGTGCTTCCAATTATTAAGTTGTGGAAAATTTCTGAAAGTGAAGGTTTTCTTTATAGTGGGTGGGAGGAAACATGAAGAGTTCAATATTCTACATGCAAAAATTGTGCTATTTGACTGGGTATTGAAATGATGAGTGAGTAGAAATCCCATTTAGAACTAAGGGTTCAGAAACAGTTCTGGCTGGAATGATACATTGGTGCATTACCAGAAGGAAGATGATATTTGAATCTTTGAAGCTGGATAATACATTATCAATGAATTCGACATAGGTGGAAAATGAAGAGAAGCCCATGTGATCAGTAGAAATATGTATATCAGGGTAGCCCAACAGAGCAATGAAGAACATGCCCATGGAGGAGAGCAGTCACTATTTCAAATGTTGGTATTAATCTAATAAGTTGAGAGTAAATTATTACTATACATTTGATATGAAACAAATACATTACAGAACATTCAAAATAATCTAATTAATGATCAATTCCTTTGTTTGAAATGTTTTTATATGTTTGTAGCACTGAGGAAAGTGTTCTGTCAGGTATCTCACAATTCTTTTGCACTATATTTTATTATCTCAAAAACACACCTTTGTGTCTATAAAATTAGGAAACTGTATCAACTGTTCCTGTTCATTCAATCCCTCAAAAGCTGTGATGTATGTCAAGTTGAGCAGCGGTCTTCTGTTAGTACAAACATACGATTCAAAGCCACCAGAACAAGGTAATATACTATCCCACCAGAGGTAAAATCGTAATGTTACATTTTACTGAAGGTCATTTATGAAATAGGAGGATTCTCACCTAATTGTGAACAGCTTACATTATTTAACTTCTTCTTGGGTAAACATACCTCAGTACTGCAGGCAAAATGGTATAAGCACAACAAAACCTCAGGGTTAGACAGAGTGTGAGTCCTGTCACTTAATAGAGGTGACTTTAAGCAAGAAACTTAAGCCTATCTATATTCATGTTTCCTGAATGAAGAATTTGCTACTAACCACAGGTCGTAGTCCAAAATAAAAACACAAACTGGCTCCAGCCAGTGGGATTTTATTTTTTAAATCAGGTATGGTGAGATCAATAGACGAGGAGACACCTGACCCTGAAAAGACAGTTTATTATGCATAGTTGCCAGGAGAAGGGGGTATGCCAGGCCAGCCCTGGCAAGGTCACATGAGAGAACACCAGGGTTGGTTGGTCACAGGCAGAGAGAAAGCAAGAAAAACTGTAGGAAAGATTGTACTGTGGTTTTTTTAACGGGGGAAAAAATGGGAGAACAGGGTAAGCAGGAGAAACAGATTTAGGATTGACTAATTTGAATAAATTTAGTGGGCTCCAGGGAATAGGGGTTGTCCCTGGTTGTCTTATGCCTGGCCCTGAGATAATTAAGGTAGGGAAAGAGAAACTGGTGTTACCCAGTGTGAGAGCGGGATAAACTATGTGGGTTGGGGAATTGGTTAGTTTAAGTATAAGAGGCAGAGAGTATTTTGCTTTCTCTAGAATCCATTAACCCTGGGAGGGGCTATCCCTTTCTAGCCAACAATGTCCGTGATGTCAAAATATCAGATACACAAACTAGAAAACAAGGTTAACGCAGTGGGGAAGTCAGTGTCCCTTTCCTATTGACCCAACACACTACAGGTGAGTGAATCCCAAATACTGGCAATCTCTTCCACACTGAGCTGTACTTAATATCTAGATTGTCAGTATTCTGAGGATCTCATTAAGCCTCCTGTCAAATTCCCCATGGTGCTGACACAGGGGAGAGGACAGTCATTGCCTCATCCTCCTCCCCATGACACCGTTAATTGGGCTTGACCCTGAACTTTCTTGTGCCCATGCTCAGCCCCCACTAAGAGAAACTGCAATAATAGAACATGATCCTCCCTTCTCTATCCACCAATGCAACCTGGTTATTGCCCCTGGCAGCAGGTGGCAGTGGCCCCAGGATGCAGAAGGGAGGCATAAAGCCTAATAATCAGGTCACCAGAGAAAAGAGACTGGGCAGCCACCAACCCAGGCAAGAACAACATAGGGAGGCTGTGAGAGGTGAGACTCACTGTGAGGAGATGATCCAAATCCCAGTGCGGGCTCCATTACCCCATCTGACTTCACTTATAAAACACAAACTCGATGTGGAGAAATAGGAACACTTTTACACTGTTGGTGGGACTGTAAACTAGTTCAACCATTGTGGAAGTCAGTGTGGTGATTCCTCAGGGATCTAGAACTAGAAATACCATTTGACCCAGCCATCCCATTACTGGGTATATACCCAAAGGACTATAAATCATGCTGCTATAAAGACACATGCACACGTATGTTTATTGCGGCACTATTCACAACAGCAAAGACTTGGAACCAACCCAAATGTCCAACAATGATAGACTGGATTAAGAAAATGTGGCACATATACACCATGGAATACTATGCAGCCATAAAAAATGATGAGTTCATGTCCTTTGTAGGGACATGGATGAAATTGGAAATCATCATTCTCAGTAAACTATCACAAGGACAAAAAACCAAACGCCACATGTTCTCACTCATAGGTGGGAATTGAACAATGAGAACACATGGACACAGGAAGGGGAACATCACACTCTGGGGACTGTTGTGTGGTGGGGGGAGGGGGGAGGGATAGCATTAGGAGATACACCTAATGCTACATGAGGAGTTAATGGGTGCAGCACACCATCATGGCACATGTATACATATGTAACTAACCTGCACATTGTGCACATGTACCCTAAAACTTAAAGTATAATAATAATTTAAAAAAACAACAACACAAACTCAAAGATAACACTCATAAGACTTTTCACAGAGCATTAAACCTCAGTTGCAGAACCCTTCTGATCACAGAATCCCATGCGATCATCCTGGTCACACATGTGCAAATCTTGGCCTGGATCTTGGGACTTTTATGCCACACCTCACATCCTCTTGGCCTAATTTTATTCTGGCTCCTGTAAGGCAACCAGTTGTGGTCAAATGTAATCCAAGCAGCATCTTTCTTTCAATGCCCAGCATATATCTGATTTTCTAGCTAACGAATTTTTTGCCACTCTTACATGTGACCCTATGGGAACCAGCTCAGTGATTCTGATACATGCACAAATTTGGATGTGCAAGGGACTGCACAACCAACGACCAATGAGGAAACATTAACTGATGGGAAATACTTCCTTCTTTGGGTCCCTGGACAGACAAGTCTGAAGAATTTCCTCCACAATCACCTAGCTCCTCAATGGGTGAAACCTCTGCTGCCCACAATGACCAGATGCACAGACACCTTTTTACTTGTCTTTCTTTCTGCCCTAGGTCATTCTTCCTAGGGCCCTCCCAAGTTCCTGAGGATGATTTCGCTTTACAAAATAAACCGTCTGCATGCAAGCCCTTAAATAAAGCCACACTTGCTGTGGGAACTCTGAATAATACTGTAAATAAATGAGTTATTTGGAAGAATAAATGAGATAATAGATGTCAAATACCAAGCATGAGACCTGGCAAATTATAAGTACCTCAATTTTGTGAGTTCTTGATCCTTCCTTTCTCTTTCAACTTGAAAAGCTGCTTGATGTACATTTTACAACAAGATGCACAAAAAATATAGTTTTGTTACTTAAAAAAAACCTCAATCTCTATTTCAATATTGAATTATTCAAATGCTGGTAAATTCTATCCGGGCAAATTTAAATAGTCATTTCAGTATTTTACTCTTCTAGCTGTGACAGGTGGGGGCGGTGGAGGAGTACCAAGAGTGTCAGTACCCAGGAAGTCATCTCTCCCCTACAGAGACAACCATCCCTGCTTGTTCCCACTGAGAATCCCACATGGCAACTCAGTCCTAGCACCCAGGACCACCCAGGTGCTTAATGCTCATTAGCATCTCTGGGCTACTTCTTTGCCCCTTTCAGGGGTTTGGGAAATTCAGTTAATCTCTACCAGCTCTCTTGAGCTGCAAGAGACTGGGGAAGAGGGCGGTTCCCTCCAATCCTCTTTGTTGTTTATGTAATACTGCCATTTATTTTCTCTTGCTGCTAGGGTATGGTGGTGTTTCATGGACAGAACTTGTTTCCCCAGGTTCTAACTAGGGAGTACATTATGTTCTCTCTGCTTTTGACTATTAAATGTATTTGATTCCTTAGCTGTATTGTCTAGACCTGATTCAGGGATCAGGAGCATTTTTCAAATTCCCACCAGTATCTAACACGATGCCTCCACTTATATTCTCCTCCTATCCTCAGCCAGCGATATTTTTGTCAAATCTGGATACGTAGGGAAAGAAAAACAACAACAACAAAAGCCCTGCTCATTGTTTAAGGCATAAACTTGTGGATTAGAGGTCACCAATATTGCTTCTGAAAACAGAAACCAAGTCTCTTAAAACACATGAAGCATTTTCTCGCTACAAAATGAAGCATGCCTTGAGGCGTTTCTATAATAAAACTCTGAGAGCAATCAGTCTGGAATGGGGATTGTGCATGAAGAACACATAATCAGTATAATCAAATTATTATCCTGTCAAGAAGAAAATGTGTCCTTACAGAACCCAGCATCTAGGAAAACTCAGCAGGCTTTTAGTGACTTTTCCATTCAGCCTCAATGCAGAAGAAAGGCAGTCTTTTGCTCAGAGGCACAAGAAAGTGAAGCATCAAGGAAGGAATTCTGAAGAAGTTTTTACAACTTTACATGCAGCTGGGTTTTGTCAGATAAAGAAGGAAGAGAACACTGCAGGTGCAAAGACAAGATGAAGAAAGCAAGAAGGCGTGGCGAACCTATCTGGTACGAAGTAAGTAGGGCAGTTTAATTAAAGTGCCAGGGAAAGGTGCAGAAAAAGAAATCCCTATTCTGGGGCAAGATTTCTCAGTAGGTCACTCACATCTCAGTTCATCCAGAACAGTCTCATTTTGTCTCTATCAACCTGGCACAATGATTAATATCTCCTCTTTCCGCTCTTGAAAGTAACTGGGTTTGGGCAATATAGTCATTCCACTCAATAGGCAATTCGAGCATACAGTTAGGGCATTAAAAAAATGCACTCTTGGCTGGGCGTGGTGGCTCACACCTGTAATCCCAGCACTTTGGGAGGCCGAAGCAGGCGGATCACAAGGTCAGGAGTTCAAGACCAGACTGGCCAAGATGCTGAAACCTGGTCTCTACTAAAAATACAAAAATTAACCAGGTGTGGTGGTGGGCACCTGTAATCCCAGCTACTCGGGAGGATGAGGCAGAGAATTGCTTGAACCCAGGAGGTGGAGGTTGCAGTGAGCTGAGATTGCGCCACTGCACTCCAGCCTGGGCAACAGAGCAAGACTCCATCTCAAAAATAAATGAATAAATAATGCACTCTTAGCCAACACCCACTCACCTCCTGCAAAGAAAATATTTCTGTAATATAATATGACATTTAATAATTCTACAGACTACTAAAATTGATAACAGAAAATATCAGATTTTATTTTACTCATCACTTATTTGACAATTAAAAAAGCATTATGTGGGACCCTTTAGGAGGAACTAAATCTTACCTTCATAATCTGACCCTGGCAGGAATATAACTGACATAAAGTTTATATTGAATCAAATGGAATTAGATATACAGATATAAAATAAATAGAAGCTAAAGAACACACAATAAAGCAAAATAGAAATATTTTATATTTACATCAATATCTATTTACCCATCTATATTTTTACATCTTATAAGCATCAGAAAAAGTGGCATTTGCTACATACTTCAAAGCTTTTATGTAAAGCAAAAACTTGGAATATAGGCTATTCAATGGTGACTTACTTGCTGATTTTATGAATGACATATTGCTTGATTGATGTAATTTTATTGGAAAGGGTCTTATTTTAGAATATCAGACTCTAAATATATATATTTATATATTTATATAATATATATGCATAATATGTATAATAAGATATGCATATAATAATACAGCCAACACAAATTTACTGATTGCAAAAAATCAGTGTTTCTAAATACACATTTTGGCATTCCATATTATTATAATTATGTGACCTATTGATATGGTTTGGCTGTTTGCCCACCCAAATCACATCTTGAGTTGTAGTTCCCATAATCCCTACATGTTGTGGGAGGGACCCTGTGGGAGGTAATTGAATCATGGAGGTGCTTACCCCCATGCTTCTGTTCTAGTGAGTGAGTTCTCAGGAGATCTGATGGTTTTATAAGGGGCCTTGCCCACTTTGCTCAGCACTTCTCCTTCCTGCCATCACATGAAGAAGGACGTGTTTGCTTCCCCCTCTGCCATGATTGTAAGAATGTGGAACTGTGAGTCAATTAAACCTCTTTCTTTTATACATTACCCAGTCTCAGCAGTTCTTTACACCAGGGTGAGAATGGACTAATAGACCTATATATAAATTACTACATTTCAAGTGAAATGGAATAATATTAGTATGTGTTAGAGGAATAAATATAATAATGAATGATTACCTGCAAAGTTTCCTCTATCCCTCTCCCAATTTCACCACCACCCCCTATCTCTGTGGGGATCCAGCTCTTCAGCTTTATTTCAGATGGAGTGGGTACTGATCCAAGTGGAACAAACTAGAGAAGCCATTATAATTAATAACCTTACACTCAGAAAATCACTAACAAGAGATATACTATAAAAATCTGTCATTCTCCAGGTCCTCAGAGAGATGCATACTAGAATACACCACGAAACATACGCTTAAAATTGAATTTACTGTATTTTATTCTAGGGCTTTGTCACCTATGTATAGTGCATTGATTTAAAAACAAATTATAGTTTGACTCAGACTCAAACGTACCACTTTGTGGAAAATATGTATATCAAATGAGTTGAGACCACCAACTCCTCAGATTCCTCACATGGAAAGAGACTGAACCATAAAAACCTTAGGGACATCCCTCAATATAAGAAGGAACTCATTTCTATAAAATGAAACGTATGTTCATGGGCATTCCTCCCCAGTGCTCAATCCTGGAGTTTACAGAGTTCAAAAAATAGCATAAAAGACCATACAACTCCCCATTCAGCCAGGGAATGAGGGTCCCAGCTCATGTCTGCACTGCAAGTGTGGGGAATGTGAAAGGGAAAAGAGAAGAAGAAACCAGAGGAGCAAGGATGGGCTAAGGAAAAATAGACTTATTTGATTTTTGAGCTTGATATTTTCTACTGGACTTTAAAATGAAAGATTGTATAACTGAAAGCGGACAGCCACTTATGAAATATGACCATAACATCATTAAGGGACAAAATAAGTAGAAGTGACAGAGCCATTATGAAGGCAATGTATGGAGAAAATAAAACAAAATAAAATAATTTTGGTTTAATTTATTGTACTGTGCCATATGCACACTAGAATGCCTTCTTAGTTTCTGAAGATATGCAGGACGTCAATTAATTTATTAATTAAGCACATGCATTAAAACTCAGCATTATCATCCTATGTTTAAGGAGTAAACACATTAATCATCATGCCTGTTTTCAAAAAAATAATCTGAGTTTCAAATAATATAATGTATCTCAGGTACTTTTCCCTATCATGTAATAATTTACCCAAACAGATTTGGTACACAGTTTTCAAGACAACTTGGTGTTAATTTCATTGTACCCACCCTGAGAACGAATGGCTAATTTTGAGCATCTTATAATTTCACCCGATAAAATGATCCCCTAAAATGAACATAATAGGCATCTTTTAAGTATAAGCATTATATACAATGAGTTGGTTTTTATTTTCTCTATCAAGAAAATAAAAATCTTCTTTTGTAACATACTTATTTGTACTGATTTGAATAATAATTCTACACAAAAATGCCTCAAAAAAACTTCCAATGTCACTTTATGACTTCTTGTTCTTGGAAGAAGCTGTGAGGATTAAATGAGATCATCCATTTTTTCAACTACAAAGTTATTTTATATAAGGCATTAGTAGCTTTGCTCAATCTGTTATTAGACAATGCTATATTTACATTATTGGGGCTAAAGTATTTGGGACAGCTAATGAGTAGTTCCGTTTCAATTCACATTTCTAGATAATTCTGTTATACTAACTCCCAAAATTCTAGTAAGGCAAATCTCTGCCTACTTTTCATACCAGTTCACAGTTCTTGTAAGTCTTACTAGAACAACTAACATATCAACATTGCAATTTCAAAGTTATACAATTTTTAATGTTATTTATTTCTAATTTTTCATGTGGGAAATTCAAGTTGTAAACATCATATAAAATGTTCTACCATTAAGCTCCAGTATTTTAAAGGACTGTAGCTTTGCCATTTTATAAACCAAATGAACATATTATTACTAGCAGTACAAAAATACGCCTTAGACAAATATGTGTGAGATCTTAAATAGGTAAGAGAGATGAGTTGATTCATAGCTCTTTTTGACAACCAATATATTCCATGTCCTTACTTTGAGTCAGTTGCATAACACTGTGAGGAATGTCAACATCATTTTAGTCCCTTACAGGTCATGTAATTCTTGTCAAAAAAGAGAGTGGATTCTCACTGTCTAAATACATGTCAGTAGTTACACATGTATTTTGTTGCTCTAAACTTGTTCTACTTTATGCTATCCTAATACAGTTTTGGGAGAAAAGATAGTTTTCTCTAGATATTGCAAAATCAGAAGGTTACATTAATTTTTTCACCATTATATATTTTTATGAGTGCACTTAATGTCACCTTTGATGTTTAGCTATGACTAATTTTGATATCGGTATGATATTCTCTTGCTTATCTATAGAGTATCCTTATGTTATAAGATGCTGAGACTTCCCCAAATGCTTGCAGAGAATAAGATTTCTTCAACTGGAGCCACACCTCCCCTGAGCAAGTTTATGTTTTCTTGTGCTAGAGGTCTAGGCAGCATTAAAAACCATTAATGGCTTCTATTTTAAGAGTTATAACTCAAAATGCTTAAAGGTCTAGGCAAATATAGAAAAACAAGCAGTGTGAATGCAGATGGTGGAGATTAGATGCTACGTGGTCCAAGGATTCAGTGTATTCTTACTCTGCATAAATGTAGAAATTATGTTAGCTCAATAATACACACCTCTGGGCCAGATATTTACCCATGTGGGCCACCAGTTTGTGGCCTTCATTGTGAATTCAGTCATCTTTTCTTTGTATGCTTCTACAACATAGCATACATTTTAGATTTTCCATTTATTATTATTATCATCATCTTTAGCTGACATCATTTGATCACCATATCAGATGCAGGACACTAAACACTTAACCTGTATTATCTCATCTAAGCTTTATAATATTTCTATGAGATGAGTACTAATATTTTATCCACAGATGTGCAGAGGTCATATAACTCATCAAAAGTTCTAAAATTCGTGAGTGGAAGAGCTGTTGTTGTATCTCAGAATTAAGTACCTCAAAAATCCAAATTCCTAAGCTTTTTTAAAAAAATTCACTAATAGAATGACAGCATCCTTTTTGTATTTTCAGAATTTAAGGCACTGCCTGTCATAGAACCAGCACTCACCAAATATTAAAATAGCAAATAAAAAGCTGAGCATGTTTCTACTTTGTTTTACAATTATGTAGCTCAATTCATATACTATTCTAAAGTCTATTTTTATCTATTCATAAACTTATCACATCTTTTTTTATTTCTATAAACTTCTATTCAAGACCCCTTTGATTTCTTTGTCACAATGACAGCAAAGCAAAGCGAAATGAAATAGCACATAGCGTTTGAATGCAGACTCCAGAGAAAAGAAACGTTGATTCCAAACTTTTTTAGGATGTAGCATATTCCTAAATATGTGCATGTTTTCTAACCTCTTAATATTTCCTAATATGAAAAGCTATTTTGGGTTTTTATAAAAATAAAATGAGATAAGGATAAGTCGGCTTCATACTGTAAATTAGAGACCAGATTCCTTCCATCTTGTATGTCTCCCCTGCTCTGAGGCATGAATGTCTTCTGCATTCAGCCAACAGATGGGAAAAGAGAGGATGCAAGATCCTGTGGGAAGTTTTTATAGAACAGGCCTGAATGTAGTTTTTGCTACTTTCAGCCATGTTCCTTTGGCAAGAACACAGCAATTATAGCCATGAAGCTTGTGTGGACCTTACTAAGATGTCCAGTAAGTATCAATACATTTTAGTTAGGATTAATGTTAATAACACTATACTTTATGCCTATCAACAAAATGACATGTGAGTTTCTTTTTTAATCTGGTGTTAGAGAAATCTTGTCTCCCATTGGAAACTGGTGAACCAAATCCTTTCATTTAGTGGAAACTCTTTGTTTTATACATATTTCCTTAGAGTTTACACAATTATGTCATCATTTAATTATAATCCTATACCATAATGTGTTCATAGTCTTATTCAAATGAAGATAAAAGACTATGTTACATTTGGTAAACAGCCTGCTGCTAAGATTCTATTGGCAAGTGAGATTAGTCATCACAGGTATTGAAATGTATTCAGGTAGAGATCAGAAGCTCCCTTGGAAGAAATACCCTAAGATAACCTTAGGGTATGTGAACTACATACTTGTATATTCTCCTTCCTCTAAGGGCAGAACCTGTAGCTGGTTTCTGGTCAATAAGTGATGGAAAAGGTTTATTTATATAGTAAATGTTTAAAATTTTACAAATTTAATTGAGGTTTTGAATCAGTTGACTGAGGCAATCAAAAGGGAGATTCTCATTCATTGGCCTGGCTTAATCATATGAAAGCCATTCAAAGAAGGATTGGGCCCTCCATGAGGTCAGACAAGCTTCCTACTGGCCTTGAAGATGCAAGCTGCCATGAGTTCTGCAGCCAGAAAAAATGAATTCTATCAATAACCTAAATGAGCTTGAAAGCAGATTCTTCCCCAGTCAAGCTTCCAGATGAGAACACAGCCCAGCTGGCAACTTGATTGAAGCCTTGTGAGATCCTGAGCAGAGCTTCAGTTAAGTCAGCTAAGTCAGTTAAGGCTGACTCTTAATGAATAAAAACTGAGATGTAATAAATAGGTTTCAAGCGCATAAAAGCACGGTAATTTGTTACACAAAATAGAAAATTAATATATGCCCAATCCCTCAAGTATACAAGCCTAGAGGGCCTCTCTGGAGATGAGAATCCCAATGTTTGTACTTAATCTTTCCCAATGGTATTGATCTTCTGAGTTCCAAAGATTTAAGAGTCTATCTAAGATAATTAGATAAGTGCAAATGAAGGATAATCTTGTCAAAGGACAGAGGTTCTAGAGAGAAGTATATAAATAGTGAAGGGGAATCTGGTCTGGGACTCAAAGTAAGTACTAATTTTTATGTTGCTAGAAGGAAGTGTTTATTCTAGTTACATGTTATGGCTAGTTTTGTCAACCTAGGTACCATGGTACCTTGTGGGAAACTTGGGGAAAAGCTCATGTATATGGATGCAGAGGACTTTGAAATTCAGGTAATTATCTTCTGAGAAAAAAAAAAAAAAGCCTGAACAAGCATGGCTCAAGAACAAGAGAAAGCATGGTTCAGCTTAAAGTACCATCTTTGTCCTGATCTCATATCTCATTGAAAGTCTAAAATGGGCCTGTAATAGTAACAGCTCATCTGTGGTGGCTACAGCAAAGGGAATGAAGGCACTATCATCTGAAGAAAAACATAGTCGGTGAGGGAAATTCTGGTTGTGTTAACCATACCATAAAATATAATATAAAAATAATGCATGGTGGAAGAGAAGAGGCTTAGGAAAGGCAAGAAGTTGAAAATGAAAAGGCACATAGAATGAAATCCTTAATGACATATACATTCCCTAGTAGTTGATAAAAAACGGAAGCTAAAGATTTGAAGCCTTTGGAAACCTAAGTTAAAAATGATGCATTATCAACTTTATGTTTTGTACTTTCAAAATATCAAAAAAAACTTTTTTTTTTCTTTTGAGACAGAGTCTTGCTTTGTCGCCCAGGCTGGAGTGCAGTGGCACGATCTTGGCTCACTGCAACCTCTGCCCCCCAGGTTCAAGCAATTCTCCTGCCTCACCCTCCCGAGTAGCTGGGACTACAGGAATATGCTGCCATGCCCGGCTAATTTTTTGTATTTTAGTAGAGATGGGGTTTCACCATGTTGCCCAGGCAGGTTGCGAACTCCTGAGCTCAGGGAATCCGCCCACCTCGGCCTCCCAAAGTGCTGGGATTACAGGCATGAGCCACCGTGCCTGGCCAAAAAAAATCATTTTTGATACACAAAGCAGAAATAATTTTCTCTTCAGTTTCCACAAAGAACATGTTGCAACACATAATTTGTATACTGGCATGTGCTCAAGGGCATGTATACACTCAGAAGTATGTCATTTCTCCAACACAATATTATAAAATGTAAATTATTTTAAAATATTAAAGCATGTGTAGATTTTACCTAAATGTACAAGTTTCTATCTTCTCTTGAGAAATGTGAAGATCTGGTGAAATGTGATCTATATTCTGTTTGGCATTGACCTCTCTGACCTGGGAAATGCATTATCAATTCAGAATGGCCTGTTCTGCACATCACTGCAGTCTACATAAGCCAGTCCTCATTTTATTACATCTGATTCTAATCGCTTATTTAAGTTATCTGCCTGACTCCTTTAAGCTATTAAGTTTAGGATTTCTAAGGTCTTTAATAATATCTTCCACAACAACTTTATGAAACTATAACAAAGCATTTTATATGTTTCTATAGTAACCATCCTAACATAACTAATCATACTTTGTTTTTAATCTTTGTTCAAAGATAACAGTGAAATCTCCTTCTCGATCCTATAGTCTACATTTAACATCATAGTTTATAATAAACTTGCTTTCTTCCTCTTACGGTCTTGACCTTGAATTTAGATTTGTTCCTTATTAGTAGAAAATGACTTTAATACATTTTAGAAAAATAAAGAATGGATTTAAAGAGAGAGAAATTGAATTGAATTTTACTATATCATTTTATTTTTATGTGTTTGCTTACTGAATGCTCACAAGACCTTGTCTGCTGCAACTCATTTATAGGAATACTTATTTTTGTAATGTGTAAAGGACATAACAATAGTAAATGGAACATTAAGTGCTGTAGCTCAGTTTTTACACATTTTAAGTTTCTGGTTGCAATTTAGAAAAATGCTCAGGATGGAGCAGAGGTAGCGGGGAGCATATTCTGTCACACACCATAAGTGCCCTTAAAGGACAGCACTAGACCAGCCATAGTCAATCTTTAGATTGCATCAGAATCACCCAGAAGGCCTGTTAAAAACAGATGGCTAGTGGAGTCTGAGAAGATGCTGGTCTAATGAGTTCACAGGTGATAATTCTTCCCATCTTGGAAACACCATTTGGTAGCCACTGCATCCAACCATAATCCTCTTAATAGTAGATACCTGACTTTTTTAATTCTTGAATCCCTGTTAAATCACACTTTGTCTCACATATGGGAGATGCTTACTACAAAAGTGTTAAAGTAATTAAGCGTTTGATATTTTGACCTAATAATATTTGACTAATAGGATTTGATGGGCCCCAACTAATAGAAAAGTCAGCAACTGAGAGAGAAGTGACTAAACTTAGCTTTCACTTTTGCCTTTTACCTATGTAACTGGGGAATCCCAGGCTTTGTACTTGAAAATATTCTTCTATTTCTTCCATGGGTATAGATAGATAGATAGATAGATAGATAGATAGATAGATAGATAGATCGATCGATCTATAGATAGATAGATGGATAGATAGATATACATATAGATTATAAAGATTTAAAGCCATTGGAAACCCAAGTTAAAATGATGCATTATCATTTTTATGTTTTGTACCTTCAAATCATAAGAAATCATTTTTGATACATAAAGCAGAAATAATTTTTATATATATACATATATACATACACATAAAATCATAATTTTGCCTATTTTTAAACACAAGTAATCAAAATAGAATTGAATCTTTTATATTGTTGAATCTAGAAAGAATTTGTTTACTTTTTCCTTAATTTTTATCAGTGTTTTATTCATAATTACATTTCAATTCTTTGTATTTTTAAAATATTGTAGCCAAATTATAGTTTATTAATTGTCATTGAAAAATAAAGAATTCTGGAAGATACAAGATTTTATATTTTTAAATTTTATTCCTTGGTAATTTTTTTAATTGTAACTTTTTTTTATACACAGACTACATCCAAATTTCAACAGGACAATTAAAATGAATCAAAGTTATTCCCTAATATAGAGGTTTTTTTATTTCCCAATAATTAAGGCAACAATAGGCTGATGTTTACCAAAATTGTCTGCTCCTGGCCATCCAGGTTTGGCTATAATTGCTGAGTCCTTGCCAAAGGGACATGGCTAAAAGTAGTAAAAACTACATTCAGGTGTGGTCCATAAAACCCTCTCACAGGAGCATTTACTATTATATGGGACTGATTTTTTAAAAAATCAATCAAAATCCTACCCATTTGTGAAGAAATCTTATTGACAAAGAAATAATGATCCTGGACAATAACATTTTGATAACTTGAGTCTCAGATAAACCTTTGCATCCTGAGGCTTGAATATACAGGTGGAAGATTCTAGGAGTCAGTCCCAAAGAACAGCTTATTTTTCACTGCCTACTCCAGATGTAGTTATGGAAGAAAAAAGTGCAAGAAATATCAACTATAAGGTACAACTAGATGGTTTATAAACAATAACGGGCCAGAGAGTTCCCGTTATCTGGAAAAATCACTGTCTCATCCCCAGGAGTATTTAAATATTGATATGAACTGGAAACATCTGTTTGCTTCTTATTTC
The DNA here is from genome assembly GCF_000001405.40 of Homo sapiens. Lineage (NCBI taxonomy): Eukaryota > Metazoa > Chordata > Mammalia > Primates > Hominidae > Homo > Homo sapiens. The sequence continues at coordinate 19,876,531 of NC_000005.10, forward strand.
TCCTTTTCCCAGGAGGGAATTTTTGTTGTGGTTACCCTGTCTCAGTTCTGCCCTTGATTTGGGATATCTGCAGGGGTGAGGTGGGATTGCCTTTTAGATCCTGACCATTTGGAGAAGACTATTATCCAGGAATCTTTAACTTTTATGTATGGGATAATGCTTGTCTTTTTTGGGGTGGCATGAGTAGGTTTTATGTAAAGCATGAAGATTCAGTTATTTAGTGACCAGAAGGGAAAACTCAGGTAGGGACTGGTTCATTGTTTGCTCAACCAATGCTCCGGTTTTCCTGGGCACAGAGCTATGCTAACTTCCTAACCTTCCTTGAAGTTAAAGGTGGCTATACAACTCAGTTCTGGCCAATGAAATCCGTGTGGAAATGATTAAGTCACTTCTTGGCATGGCTCATAAAATCTTCCCTTGTGATCAATCCTCCATTTGCTCTACCCATCTGGTGGATGAACACACAGAAAAAATTGAGGCCTTCGAAGAAGGCTGAGCCACAGTAGAAGAATGAATCCCCCAATGACTATGAAAACAAAGACCCTCACCATGCACAACAGACTTCAAATCACCTGTGTTAAGCCACGGAGACTTGGAGATTTGCCTTTTAGCAGTATTACTGTACCATGAAGCAAGCGTGCTACAGTTTTGGTAAGATTTCATTTTGGCTAAAAACTTTCAAACTGTAAAAAAAAAACCTATATTAAATGTCGTAAAAAGTGGGGAAAATCGTTACTTTTATTCAACATTGTGAAGGCAATACTGGAAAAATCTTCCTAAGTAACTGTACTTTACAGTATGCTTTGAATTTTAAATGTGGGTATGCTTTGATTGAGCAATTCTAATTTGGGGATTTTTTTCCTAACAAGAAAAATGTGAACAGTTGCACAAGAATGTAAATACGAGGATAGTCATAAAGGTAGATATTATAGGCACATAAAAGTATAGATGAAAAGGGGCTAGTTACATACTTCACAGCATGTGCACATGAAAGAATTCAGTGTAGCTATTAAAAGGGTGTCATGTAATTTTTTTATTGACTTATTCAAAGCTGGCTATGTGTGAGACATTTATGTTTATAGTAACATAGATTGAAAAAATAGAACTGGTCCTTTCCTCTTGGAACATTACAGCTTGGAAGTAGGGCCTAAAACAAGTAGATAGAATTATGTAACTGAGATTACAGCAAAGAGAATTTCAGTGTCATTCAAAGGCACCGATGTAGGAAAATAGAAGCATGTTCTTCAGCCTTAAGAGACAGATGTTTGAGGACAGGCTGTGCTACCTACTTCACTTAAGATCTGGGAAAAGTTGTTTAGGAATCAAAATGATAGCTATTCACAAAATCATTTCGCATCTCATATATCATAATACATGTGAAGCATTTCAGATAATATCTGACATATATTAGGTGCTCAGTAAAACTAGGTATTGTTAATAATGTTATTATGATGATTCATTACCACTTTCCTTATTGACTTGGAGAGCACTGCATACTAACTTCGTTGTAAGAAGGTAGTTGTAGAACCAAGGGTTCAATATGTTCCCATTTTTGAAAACCTAGGTGGATAAAAAGGAGAAAAAAGTTTTCCAAAATACTTTTCCCTTTAGGTATGGCAATTTGAGGGGAATTTCAACTTATTCTTTATAAATTTAATTGTTTTAATTGTCTATGATTGCCAATATTTTTGAGAGAGACAGCCAGATGTTATCCTATTGTGATTAGATTGCTAACTTTATAAAACTTACATGCTTAAAACACATGACATGGCAGACCTTCAACCATCATTCTAAAATATACAAACTGGAGTTAGTACTAGAACGTATTTATATTATTCTTTGCTACAATGTCAGAATACAAACATACGGCACACAAACAATTGTTAGGAACTTAGGCAATAGATCTTTTCATGCTGCCCTGGTACAATGGTTCCATCTAGAGAAGAAAAGCCTGTGAATGTTGTCTGCTTCCTGAGTTATTTCTGTGGCTGATGGAAAGGAGATAATTTACCTACCTAAAAGAAACAAAGTTCCTACAGTGTGGCAGGCACAGTGCTAGATAGTTTCTATCCATTCTCTCATTCTCTCATTTAAGGCTTACAATTATTCAAATAGGGAGGTATCACAGAGGTTTATCTTATCCATGAAAAAAAATCAAGGTTCATAAACATTAAGCAACTTAACTACAACTACATAATTTGTAAGTAGCAGAAAAATGTAATAAAATAGTAACTTACATTACATGAGTCTATGATAAATGTACTCTCATACCGGAAAGTCATTTTATAAAAAAATCTTTTTTTGTGTGTCACAAAGTAAAAATTTAAATTTCAATTTTTAAAGACTTAATTTTTAGAACTAGTTTTCGAATGTTGCAAACTTTTAAACAGTAAATACTATTCAAGGAGATCAAATAGAAGCTAAAAAATGTCTCTAGCTTATTACTAAGAATTTTTCATTTATTCATGCATTCAAATATCTACCATTATATACTCTCATTTTTATAAACAAAATATAAATTATATAATTTAAAGCCTCTTTCAAGTCCAATGAATAATACTCTAATCTAAGCTTTCTAAGCTTTCTTCAGCTAAAGTTATCTTAACTTGCTCATTACACTTAGTGCTTTAATCTAAGCAGAATCAATTTTTTTAAAAAAGCAAGTGTAATGTTGCAAAGAGAGATTTTTATGGGGTGGTAAGAATGCCCTAAGTGATTGAAAGGTTGTGTCAATTCTTAAGGTAAATAACAAGACTTGTAAGCCTTTAAAAAGAAGTTTGCCACATAACTGCTTGTTTTTCTTAGCTCTAGTATGGGGGAGCACATATTAATACATTAAATACTGACTTTACAACAATTCCCATATTTATAAGGAAATGATGAAAAGGGGAAAAAAAGACCTAAATGTTCTAGTTCACTGTTTAAATCTAAGTTCTGATATCTATTACTTGTATGATATTGGGTAAGTTTATTGAAATATCTGCTTTATTATTTCCTTAGGTGTGAATTAAATAGAACTTAAAAACACGGATTGGTATAAGTATACCTACAGCAGTAGATATAAAGTATTCATTAAAATAATTGGAACAACACTGTGATTGCAGCAAGCATTTGGTAAGTTTCAGTTGAAGTATTTAGAAACACCAAAATATGAAAGGCTTATATAGGAAATGGGATATGTGTGCATCACAGAGAGATCATAGATATTTAATTAAATACATTTGATTTGTTTAATTAGTTGTTTCTTTCAAAGACATAGTTGGAGTCTCCTAGTTTGGGCCTAACATGCTTGAAATATTCTACTGTGGCCTCTTCTCAGGGTTTCATTTGATGTCATGTCTATATACATGTTAAGAAAATACTTATTTATATCTTTTAAAGGTGACTTAATGAATTGTTTGCTTGAAATCCTGTTGTGTCCTACCAGGCAAATTATAGAAAACTATGTACACAAAGCCAAATCCTAATGTATTTCTATTTAGGGGCATTAAATATACCATGCAAACATACATTTGACATTGTAGAAATAATATGTTCCCAGAGTGTAGTATGAACCAGGCTTCTATTTTGGGAAAATGCTCAAAGAAATCATCATGTTCAGGTAAACTCTATATGTACTTCTATCTCTTTTCTTTTCTACTATCTAACTGACCCAAAACCACACACTGAAACTCCCTTAGATGGATATAAGACATGAAGTCATTCAAAAGTTACCAAAAGAAGTCCACAAGCAGAGGCCTAGCTATATTAGAAACTTAAGTATATTAAATTACATTTTATTTAAATTCAGCTTCCAAACAACAAATACCATTTACATATACAGAGGTGAATGCAAATCGAGTAATTTTAAACAAGAAGAAGCATTTTTAGAAACCCTAAAATGAAGAGTAATTATACTCATTTAGATAACCATCAAATCTATAGGATTTAGCTTTCAAGTGAATTAAGCATTGAAGAAGGATAGATTTATTTGACAGTCTGTTGAAGAGCTCCTCTGAATTGCAATATTTTTGGTTGATACACATGTGTACAAGACCAACTACTTTGAAAATGAAGTGCTGTGAAAAATGTCAAGAGATCAATTTGGTGTAATCATTGCTCTGGACTTAAGCACTGTGGAATGAACTACAGTAAATTATTCAAGTATCTCATTCTGAAGGGCACATTAAATAGCATTTAATTATGTCTGTTCAAAGCATGAAGGCATTTTTTAATGCAACATCCAAAATCTAAAATTAGTTTGAAAAATCTGTTTGAAACACTTGTATGCTCATAGAGAAACACTAAAAATCTCAGAAACTTTCCAAATAAAGATGCCATTAACTCTCAAAAGGAATGTTTCCCATTTAGTCACTTATCTATTGTTAATCTTATCTCTAAATTCTTATTGACTCTGTTGGCTGTAATTGTTGACACTGCAAACAATTTCTATTTACTCTTACTTAGCATGAAGCCTATAGCCCTGCAGGGAGTCCCTTTGAATTCACACAGTTAATTATTTCCTGCTCTCCAGGGAAGTGTTATTCTGGCAAAAGGAGAGGTGAGAGAGTTTATTAAACGGTGCCATAAGCTAGACAATCATATTATGAAGGGATATGTATGAAGGCAGAGGGCAGATACAATATTAATAAGAAAAATTACTAACATTTGGAAACAAGGAAAAGGGAAGAGAGTAAGTCCTTTCAATGCCTTGTTTTAATAGTGGGTCCAAAACTTATGTAAATATCTAGACAAATATTTCTTTGTCTTATGTGCTACCCACTATTGATTAAAGGTCAATACTCTGTTGAGTTACATAATAAATAGATTTTTTTTGTCAAGACAAATGCAAATGGTTCAGCCTAGTAGAAACTATAACATCAAAGGTCATGGTTTTATTTTCATGCAGAACATCAGTTTTGTATCTGGTCAAACAGATTTACTCTAGTCTAATGTTCATTATTCAAACGCTGACAAATACCCAGCTCTTCAAGTGCTTTTTTTTTTTTTTTTTTTAAGATGGAGTTTCACTCTTGTTAACCAGGCTGGAGTGCAATGGCATGATCCTGGCTCACTGCAATCTCCACCTCCTGGGTTCAAGCGATTCTCCTGCCTCAGCCTTCCACGTACCTGATTACAGGCATGCACCACCACGCCCAGCTAATTTTATACTCTGAGTAGAAACAGGGTTTCACCATGTTGGCCAGACTGGTCTCGTACTCTTGACCTCAGGTGATCCACCCGCCTCGACCTCCCAAAGTGCTGGGGTTACAGGCATGAGCCACTGCACCTGGCCTCAAATGCCTTTTGAATTACCTTTATTATTCTGCTGGTTCCCTACCTGATGGGCTTAATTACATCTTATACATGTTCATTCTGTATTCTATTATAACCATGTTGAACTATCCTGTAGTTCAACAGGGGAACAAATTTTTGGTATTTTTTTACATGGAACTTCATGGTATACCTCCACTAATTGTAATGTATTTTGAAAATCTCGACTTAGATGATGTCACATACAAATGTGACTATTAAAATTTCAACAACATATTATCTTTGTGAATTATTGCCAGGTTTGATCTCCTTCCATTAGTATTCTGTGTTCAAAAATCATCTGTGCAACTCATAATACATGTCTTACAATATTATTTTATTCATTTTTGGGAAGAAAATTGCCAACTCAAAAGCAATGTTCACAATTTACAGTTCTTTCCTTGTGATTCTTTGATTCTGTGTCTCATTACTTCACCTAGAAAATATTCTGAGTATAGGAATAGTTTATTATTTTTCATAATTCATTGTATATAACATTTAGGTAGATGTACATTCAGTAATAAATTCATTTTTATTATAAAATGCAAGCATAACATATAAGCCACATTACCTTGTGGCTGTTTTATTTTTAAAGTTATGTCAAAAAGTTTAATTTTCTTAGGATCATTAAGTCAAATGAATCTTAAGAGATAAAGAATTTCATACACATTGTTTAAAAATTGGAAATATTCTGAGTATTATCTAAATTAAAATAATAGTTTGGACTATTATATATTAAAAATACTAAGGACAAAGGTTCATTTCACTGTTTTACTTTAGTTTCAGAAAAGTTTTGTATCCAAACTCTCTGAAGTATTACTGCAGTGAAGGCATGGCATCAATATGTGCTAATTGTGATGTGAATGAAGATACCAAACCTTAGAAAGAAGTCTCAGAAAATTTTTCATTAATATGTAATCACTGTCATCTTAGAATTAATGCCCTAAGAGAATGCCAGAAAAAAATACGTATGTATGATTATGGAATAGATATTACTATATTTACATCCTCACTGATAAATGAAAGAAGCAAGAACTATGAAATTTAACTGTAAGTTATCAGGTATCAAGATATCTTTGGATGCATTTTTGTTATCTTTATAAAATTACTATTATATTTATATGACCAGATGACTTTCAAATTAATAACAAGAATAATATATGCTATTAAATATATTTAGCCCTTTAAAGGAAAGGTGTGGTTGGGCTTTTCAAGGTAGTTTAACCCTGAAACAGAAGAAATAATCTGTGCAAGATACTCTGCCTCCCACGTGCTTCAGACAGCCCCAAATGCTGGCTCGAGAGCACTGACCTTGACTTACAGAATCAAAATCTGTGGGCATTGGCTGAAAACTACATTTTAAATAAGCTTTTCAGATGATTCTTATGACACTTTGGAATCTAACGTTAGGAAGCTAATGCTTAGCATCACTGGTCTTGAGAAATGATATAAACAGTTCTTTGAAACGAAGATTGAGTTCAAATTGTGTTACACTCTGTGATACCGTTAGAGTAGCACTCAAGTCACTGACGAAATCACAAGCAGTTTATACACTGAAACCTACTCTTGGTCATACAGGTTTTCACACAATGACTATCCATTGATTGTTTACTACATCAACATTTTTTTTTTTTTGGTAGGGCTTTGTGATATATTTGACTTCTAAGCATGAGTTTTGCCCTTTCATCTCTAATGATTTAGAAAAAGAACCATAATTGTTTTGTCCAGTATTACATTTTCAAAGTGAGTTTCTCTTTTATATTTGTTTATATAGTTTAAATATTACATTTTATTTGTTCAGTATCATGTCTTAAATGCAAAGATTATATTCTGAATATTAGCTAGAATTTGAAAATGCCAAGTGAATTGGATCTGAAATAAAAAGGGGTTTGACGTTCTGTTTTTAAGGCAAAATGTTTATTCTACTTGAATTTTTACTTTCAAATGCAGAACTAAATCTCAACTTGTAAATATACAAGGATAGACGAGAGTTTACTGAAGCAATGTGCTTACTCTTTTCAATATTAAAATAATACTTTTGCTTAGTATAATGCTAATATATAATATTAAACTATTATTCATGTCATCTTCGTTTAAATTATATTTTACTTTCTGAAACATGACTTAAAGAATACAATTTGATTTGTGTTTTACAGGCCATAAAGTGTTTATATCTTTTTAATGTGTGATTATTTTTATGTGCAGTAAAGCATGGGTTGTCAGTTGGATATGTTGAAATGTATAATCTTTAAGCCTTTTATGGAGATTTCTGTGAATAGCACATCTTTTTCTATATATTTTCAACTGACAGTCAATGGGAAGTTAAAATTACAGCTACAGTTAGAGCCCCATGTTCTACTAAAAAGTCTGAAAACAAATTTTGCGGCAAGGTCGCCTACTTCAGCTCATTTCTTGCTATAAAAGACTGTTAACAAAATTGTTTTCACTAAAACTTTGATGATTTTGGCAGTTGATTCTCTGAGGTAAACTTAAGACCTATTAATGGAACAGAATGAGAACAATAAAAGGAGAACTAAACAGTCCTGAAATAAATTAGAAATATAGAAAAGTTATTAAATACTGCCTAACAGAGCATTATTTTACCTTTGAGGCTAATTTCTATTTTAAGTTGAAATCTATCATTTCATTTCTTACTGAAAAGAGTTCCTATACAAAACATTAAAATTATAAAAAATACATAAGTCATCCAAAATAGTATATAAGTATATTGTACAATATTATTAAATTATAAAAGATACATAGATTAAAAGAAATATGGGAAATAAATAATATAAATGTTTTACATACTTATGACAACTCTGTGTTTTAAAATAATATAAACGTTTTAAATACTTGTAACAATCCTGTGTTTTTAAAAAAAGTATTGGTGTGAATCATCTTTTATGTTATTTTATCATTTTATTGTTGCTTGAAAGGACAGGATTATTTCTAGAAGCTTAAGTAAGAAATTTAAATCTTTACAAAAATTTTTTAAACAGTCACTCTTTCTCTTTCCACTAAACTAGTATGATATGTAGTACAGCAAGGTTATCAAATAATAGCATTTATAAATAACAGAACAAAAGCAAACTAGGGACATTATAATTAATGGATTATAATTAATTTTTCACACTATCAAGACATTATACATTTTTGCAAAGTGATATTGGTAGTTTGAGATGTTACGGCAGTTCAAAAAAATAATAATGTATCACTAATCAACATACATTTATCCCACCTCCTGCTTCCTTTTTCCACTGCCTTCCATATTATGGGCGAAAAATTATTTCAAAATTAGATAACTTTGTGGTTAAGGGAATGAACTCTGGTGCCAACATATCAAAGTTCAAAATCTAGCTCTATCTTTGACTATCTCTCTGGCTGAGGCCAAGTGACTTAATCTCTAAAACCTTCATCTTAACTTGTACAATGTATATTAAAACAGCATGTACTTTGGAAGGTTGGTGTGACCGTTAAGTTATAATGACATCCAGTTTATTTTAAATGCTGTCAAGAGTACTAGCTGTTATCAAGCAAATCAGATTTGCATACAGCATTTGGCATGATGTCTAAAAAGGGACAGTAAATCTGTAATGTGATTTCATACATCTAAGAATAATTCATTAGGTTTTATATTAGTGTAAAATACATCGGTTAAAAAATGCATTAACATTTGTTGTTTACATCTTAAATTGCCAAACAAAGATAACAAACTGTACTTAAGAGCAAGAGATCTGGCTTTAGAAAACAAGAGTTCTACAGGGTCTTGATCTGTTTGCTCAGGCTGGAGTACAGTGGTGCGATCATAGCTCACTGCAGCCTAGAGCTTCCGGGCTCAAGTAATCCTCCTGTTTCAGCCTCCTGAGCAAGCTAGGACTACAGGCATGCACCATGACACTCAGCTAATCTTTATTTGCAAAAATGTAAAACAATGCAGCTCTTCTATTATTTTTAAATACAGCTATTTTTCATAACAACAGATGACATGCTAATATGCAATGAGTTGTTATTGTTATTTTAGAAAATTAAAAGGAATGTGTTTACAATTTCTTAGTTTTAATTTCTTATATGGTGAGCGTTGATAGATCTTATCTACAGAAACAAAATCTCTTTATGGTCCTCAATAAATTTGAGAGTGTGTGAGACCAAAAAGTTTGAGAACTTCTGTATCATGCCATTTTATTTCCATGACCATAGCGGTAGCAAGGAATTTCAATGAGTTTTTCACAATCACAGGTTTCTTCTTAAAGCAAAAAAGTAAAACAAGAATAAAACTGATTAACTCACATACTTTGGTTGAAGCATCTCTAATTATCACACCACTCAATCTTTATTACTTGATACTGGGCTCAGAATTGGACCCTGAATAAAGCCAGCTGACAATAATCTTTCTTGGATCTAGAATTTAGATTCTGCTGGTGAAGTACATTAGATGACTGCAGTACTTAAAATGAAAATGCACCCAGTACCTGATTTAGCTTTCGTGACATGGTGAGTCAAAGCCACATGCAAGCTAAAAGCTATGCAGTAGAGGAGATTGCATGAGTAAGCGAAGAAAGCTAGCTGGCAAAAAGAATCAAAATCACAGAGAGGACAGAAACAGAGACAAGAGGCAATTATTTCAGTTGCCAAATATGAAGAAGCAACCCTAAATTCTGACATCCAGTCCGAGTTTCTACAAGCCAGTTAAATTTTTATTTTCTGACTTAGGATGTTCCTGAGATTTGCTGTGTTTCCTCGCAATCAATCTTTCTCTTTTGAGTATGTGTGTTACTCCGGTAATGTATCTTTTATTGTAATAAGCTTTCATAGAAATATATGACATATATAGGAGGGTGGCCACACTTGTTTCAATATACACTTCAGTGATGTTTGTAAAGTGAAAGCACCTGTGTAATCACATCCAGCTCAAGAATTACATCACCAGTATCCAGATGTCTACACGTGTCCCCTTTGTTCACTGGTTTTCAACAAAGGTAACCTACCTCTGCTGTCAATTAACTTGAAATAATTATGTCATATGATATACTATTCTTTTTGTGTGGATTCATTCATTCATCATTGTGTGTGTCGGATGTATCCATTTCATAAAACATAGCAGTAGCTTGATCTTTACATTGCTATATATTATTGCATATGACAAATTACCAATATTTATTTATGCATACTGTTATTGATGTATATTGGGTTGATTTAGTTGGGTACCATAATAAATAAGGTCAGTATAAATACACATATACTTGGCTTCAGGTGCCCACATGTATATGCATTATTTATGTGATACATACACAGAGCTAAGAGAAGAATGGCTAAAAATTTGTTTTTTTGTTTTTTGTTTTTTTTTTTTGCTACCCTTGGCCATTTACTTTTTCACATACAACTTATAATTAGCTTATACCAAAAACGTAACAGCGCATACTCACTACCAGTTTATTCCCAAACAGCTTTCCAATGTAGCTATTTCTCCTTATCTCATTGGTTTCTATGAGTTATATTCTGAGATAACCGCATTGCCTAATATATATTTTATATATATGTGTGCGTTTGATATATCTCCTGTGCTTTATCCCTCTCCTCATGATCTGTTTTGATGAATAGATTTTTAAAATAGATTTATTAACTTTTCTTTAATAGTGATTTACGTTCTATTTAAGAAACAAAATCATGATGTTATTCTCATGTGTCTTTTTCCCCAAAAGTTGTATTGTTTTAATATTCACCTTTAGCTCTACAATCCATCTGGGACTTGCTTTTTTTTTCCTCTAGAGACAGTGTCTAACTCTGTCTTCAGTGTGGAGTGCAGTGGCATGATCATATTTCACTGTAGCCTTAACCCCCTGGGGTCAAGTGATCTTCTTGCCTCAGCCTCCCAATGTGGCTGTGACCACAGGTGCACACCACCATGTGTTTTTTTTTTTTTTAATTTTTTTGTAAAGACTGGGTCTCACCTTGCTCCCCAGACTAGTCTTGAACTCCTGGACTCAAGCAAGCCTCCTGCCTCAGCCACCCAAAGTGTTGAGATTTACAGATGTGAACCACCACACCCAGGGTCTTACTTTTGTATATGGTGTGAGACAAAGGTCATGGTTCAATTTTTTTGAATTGAATATTCAGTTGATTCAGAAACATATGTCAAAAAGGCCATGCATACACAATTGCATGGTGTGGCCACCACCTATATCACAAATTATATGGCAGTATTTGTATAGGTAGGTTCTAATCTCTCCATTCTATTCCCTTATTCTATTTGTCTCTTCTGAGATTTCTATCACACTGCTTTACCATGTTGCATTATAATTAGCTTTGATGTAAAATAGTGCTAGCCCTCTACCCTTTTCTTCTTCAAGATTATTTTTGCTATCTTTGGCCATTTGCATTTTCACGTACATCTTACAATTAGCTTGCACACAAAAACATACATGTGCACACACACCGACAGTTTATTTTTATTTTTTAAATGGATGCTACAGACCTATTTTGAAAGAATTCACATCTTCACAACACTTAAATCCTTAACAAGGTATATATTTCCTTTTATTTATGTCTTCTTTGTTTTTTTCAGTAATGGCTTTAGGAATTTTGTATGTGTGTAAGTCTTAGATATCTTTCATTAGATTTATTTCTAACCATTTCATGTTTTCTGATACTCACACACCACACATATATATGGTGTGTTAAATTTATAAATGTATATAAATTTATATATATGTAGTAGTTTAAATTTTAAATTTCTAATTTGGGGCTGGTCTATAGAAATAAAATTAGTGTTTGCATTGTGGCTTTCTAACAGAAAATCTGCTAAAATTATTTACTAATTTCAGTTATTGATCTGTAGAATCTGTGCAATTGTTTATGTGCATAGTCATCCTCCTTTAAATATCACATTTAAAAATTTCTTCTTCATTAGATGTTACACTCATATTTCATGTTCTTTGCATTAGCAGAGGCCTCCTGTACAATTTTAAATAGAAGTCCTGGTAACAGACATTTTTTTACTTGTTGTTGATTTCCAGAAGAATGTTTTAATTATTTTTGCCAATAAATATGTTTGTTTTCAATACGTTTTTACCTGGTAAAGGAAATGCTGTTTTATAGCTTCCCTTGGTATCTGTGAGGGATTCATTCCAGGACCCACCAGGGGTACCATAATCTGTGCATGCTCAACTCTGTGATATAAAATGACATAGTATTTGCACATAATATATGCACATCCTCCCATATACTTCAAATCATCATTAGATTGCTTATAACCTAATAAATGTAAATACTATGTAAATGGTTGTTGTATTGTATTTTTTTAGGGAATAATGATAGCAAAAAAGTCTGTACATTTTCTGTACAAAGCCAATCATCAGGTCTTTTTGAATATTTTCTATGTATAGATAGTTGAATCCAACAATGTACTACTCATGGATATGGATGGCCATTTGTATATCTAGTTTGCTAATAATTTTATAATAAATTGACATCAAATGTTAGCCAATTTTTTTTCTGTACCTCTTGAGAGAAATGTGTAATTTTTCTCCAACATCCTATAAAATTTTTGAAATTTATTGAGTTTCAAACTTAAATGACCATGTGTTTCAGAAATAAGTTCAGCCTAGCTATTTTTTATAGCTCTTGTATTTTTGTGTTAATATTTTTATGAGTTTTGAATTTATATTTAGGGGAGACTCTGGCTTTTGTTTTTCTTTTGTTATAATATCATTAGTTGATCTCAATAAACCATTACTGTCCTATTCTGCAGAAGAATTTATCTTAAAATGCTGTTATTTTAAATGAAAATATTGTAAAGGATTTACATCTGATGCCACCAGGCCTAGGGTTTTCCTTAAGGGAAGGTTTTTATAGTACTTGACTTTTAAAATCAAAGGATCTCTGATTAGAAAAATGAGATCTAGCAATTTATATTAATTTTTAAAAGGCCTAAACACACATATGGTCACAGCCAAAAAAAGTCATGATTTTAAAATGTGCTCATAAAATGCATTATCTAATAACAATAAATCAGAGATATCAGATTGTGTCCAAAATGCTGTTTGCTCCAGAAGAGAATTACATGCGATATCATATAAATATGTACACATGAGAAAAATCTTGCAATGCAAGATGAGGCTATTAACAGGAAAAGGCCAAATGGTTACCATCTAAGAATCTTCTGAAGATGAATTACTGTATTTGTTTCCAATCTCTAGTATAATCAAATTACCACAAACTTGGTAGCTTACCACAAAACAAATTAATTGGTTTACAGTTCTGGAGTTCAGAAGTCCAAAATGAGTCTAACAAGCTAAATAGTCTTGGCAGATTCATGCTCCTGGAGGTTCTGGGGGTCATCTGTTTTCTGTGCTGTTACAAGCTTCTGGATGCTGCCTGCATTTCTCAGCTTGCAGCCCCTTCTGCCATATCAGAGCACATCACACTCCACCTTCCTGGACTGTCACATCTCTCTCTGTTTTACCAACACTTGTGATTACTTCGGGCCCACCCAGATAAACCAGGAGAATCTCCCATCTCAAGACCCTTAATCACATCTGTAAAGTACTTTTTTTCCATGTGGTGCATTTAGAGGTTCTGAGGATTAGGATGTGGAAATCTTTGGGGGACTACCATTCTGCCTGCTACAATGGTCTTGTTGAATATATAAATGTCCAATGGCTAAGCTCCATTCAAAGATACTTGGCTTGCTGAGAAACGACACAATTTTGACACTGCACAGAAAATGCAGACATTTCACATTAATCAAACTCAGAACAGCATTAGCCCAGAACACCATTTTTTTTTTTTTTTGAGACAAAGTCTTGCTCTGTCGCCCAGGCAGGAGTGCAGTGGCATAATCTTGGCTCACTGCAACCTCCGCATCCTGGGTTCAAGTGATTCTCCTCCCTCAGCCTCCTGAGTAGTTGGGATTATAGGCGCCCACCACTATGCCTGGCTAATTTTTGTATTTTTATTAGAGACGGGGTTTCACCATGTTGGCCAGGCTGAACATCAATGTATTTTAAATGTCATATAGGTTGCAATACTTTTTCCAGAATAACCACAATGGTCACTTCTTATAGATAGATTTGCGTAGAAAACCAATTTAAAACCAGTTTCTGAGTGAATGTGGAATCAGAAAAAGAAGATTTAGTTACATAATAGACAACTTTACTATTAATGGGTGAACTATCTATTTCCACAATAGTGGATAACATCCTTAGTAAGACTCTAATATCCAAAATTCATTATGTAATTCTTACTTCCTTGTCAATTTCTACCCTTGGCACTGGCATCCTTTGGCTTGGTCTGCTCTCTGTATCATTCCATTTTACCTATCCCTGTTCTAAATGATATAGTCTTCAATATGCCTTTATCTGTGGATCTAAGAATCTTTCTATCTCGTTCAAGTGACAGTGCACCTCCAAAATAAAATGTGCTGATTTTATAGTTTCACTTTCTAACATCAGTATAATTTTATTTATTTCAGAATTCTTGTCTGGATGGCAGAGGAATGGGGATAGGGCTAACGTGTGAGTAGAAACCTTTCCCAAATCAAAGGTTCATGACTAAGAGCATAATCCTGAATCCTTACAAAAAATATTTTGTGGAAACTAGAACCCTTCAACTTGAATTAGTGTTGCTTCAGAGATTATGTTATGCACAAAATGAAAGATAATCACGTAAAAGATAATTTATAATTTTTTTACTCAGTTTAAGTAATAACTCACAATACAACTTATAACAGCCCCAAATTGATCAAGATTCCCACATTATCTCCCTCAGGAGATAATGAATTCCCTGTTATAAGTGCCTCAAACAACATTAACTGGATTATATTCAGGAGAAGATTCTAGCCTCAGATTGGTGTGAGATCCATGTAACCTCTGAATTTCTCCCCAGGCTGAGATACTCTGTTTTCAGAATAGAAACATCAGCTTTGGAAATGATACAAACCTCCAGCCTGGGCAGATCCCATCTCCCTATTATATATGTTTGCTTTCTAACTGACTCACACATTTACTAAGAGAATGGAATGTAATTACATATTTTATGTTTAAAAGCATTTCCTAGGAGCAAAGCAGGAGAGAAGGACACTTCGAGAAACAAAGATCAAATGAAGAGTTGCCACAGATGAGATGTCTTTAAGGGCATTGTCTTGCTGACTTTTTATTTGGCTGTGTTTCAAGCTCACTTTTCTGTTCTCTTAGTCCTAGCACTTTGTGGGAAATGAGGATGAGTAGTAAATGTGCAATTGGGTAGGTGTCAGGGATGATAAAAATGCAAAATAAAAACTAGATTTAATTTGAAAATTTAATGCAATAGGAAACAATAGAAATAATTAAGGTTTAACTCTATTGCAAATAAAAGTTAGAAGACACTGTCTGAAGTAGCTAAAGTATCCTTAGAGCTAAAATTCTACTTGCTTGGTTAATAAAGGACAAGTATATCTTTAAAGTGCTCTAGCTAATGTTAGTTTACCTTTGGGAGGAAAAATAATGCGGTGATATATGATACTCATTACTTTTTGATATGTTAAAATAATAAATAAGGAAATTCAATTTTACTTTTTCATATTGAGAAAGGGTTGGAAACAAGAATTTGTGTAGGGCATCAACTTTGTAATGTTATTACCCTCATAATCATCAATTATATTGTCTAAAATTCTTAACACTGGAATGACTTATTTAGCTAAGAGACAGTCTCCAACGATCTGTAATCCTCATGTGCATTTCCTCCTGGTATTTATGTACCTGTATAGTCCTCTCTGACATGGAGTAGGGTGAACCTGTGACCAATAAGAATATTGTAGAAATCATGGAGTGTGACTTCCAAAAACTCTTCACCTTGTGTTCTCTTGGATTGTTCACTCTGTGGAAAGCCAGTTATCAGATCACACGGACATTCAAGCAGAGGCCCAGATAGAAAGGTACCGATTCCGAGAACATATGGGTGAGCTCATTTTCTAGGCCCAGTCAAGATTTCAGAAGATGACATCCCTGCCAACACTTCTTGAAAGTGATCTCATAAGAGACCCTGAACCAAAACCACCCACTTACGTGGCTTCTAATTTCTTGATCCACAAAAGTGATGCAACATATTAAACACTGGTTGTTATTTAAGCTGTCAAGTTTTGGAGTAATTTGTTATGCAGTGCCATGGCCTAAATGCTTTTGTCTCCCCAAAAGTCATATGTTAAAACCTAATTCCCAATGTGATAGCAGTGAGAGATGGGAAATTTGGGAGGTGATTAGGTCATGAGAGTGAAGCCCTCATGAATGGCATTAGTGCTTTTATACAAGAGGCCTCCCAAACAGCTCCCTCTGCCCCTCTGCCTCTGAGGACACAGGAGAAGGTACCAGGAGGTGAGTTATGGATATCCCAGCTTCCAAAACTGTAAATTACTATTGTTTGTAAGCTAGCTAATTCATGGCCTTTTGCTATAGCAGCCTGATTGTACTAAGCTATGCAGCAACAAGAAACTGATACAATATAAAATATATTTGTGTATGTTAATATTGATACAAATTGTGTTAATAAGTACACTAGAATTAGTACCATAGTGAGAAAAGTTTTCCCCAAATAGCGTTTGCATATATCCACATTATTTCTAGACACAAGGAATTGCTGAATCACACAGAGGGACTTCAAAAAGAAAGGACCAAATTGTATTTTCAGGACCACATAGACTGACACAGCTTGATAATGACTTTAAAAAGCATTCCTAGTTTGTAAGCAGAGGTTATTTACACACATATACATACATTCATTTTCTCTCTCTTTCTCTCTCTCTCTCCTACAAGATTATTTAGCCTCACATTACAACAGATTCAGGGGGAATATTAGGGAGGGCACAACTGTAGGGGAACTTCAGTCTTGCTTATTTGTACTGAGTGGTAGAGACTATTTAAGGAAGATTTATGGAAGTTAATGTGACTTTTCAGCACTTGTTGTTTGTTATTTTTGCTCACCTAAATTCTCTTTTAGGAAGCTATTGTTGCTAAAATGTGGTGGAAATTGATTTCCAGTGAAAACATATATTTAGCCTCCTGTTATTTTTAACTCATTATCTCATATTGAAAAACTCCTATATTAAAGATCAGAGGTGGGAAAGTAAACAAGCAGCATGTTCTATGATTTTACAGAAGTAATTTGCATTGTCAAACCTATCATTATCACCTTGCATACCCGCTATCTTTTTGCTTTTCTTGCATTTTAAAAATTATTTATCTTAAAATAGACTGTACTGATTGAAAAGTAAGAGATTTTATATTTATTTCTTTTTTAAAGAGAGATGCAAGGGCTCCATAATTTCTAATAACCCTCAAACACATTAAAGAATCAAGAATCTCTAGAAAAAATCCACTGATATTTTAAAATTGGATCTATTTTAGTTTTTAAACTTCCTCTTTTAGGTGAAAGACTACAGTATTTCAATGTAAACATATCAAAAATTTAATAACCACTTGACTATTTGGATGCCATTGTTAATAGAAGTGATATGTTCATATGAATACAGGTTTTTCTACAAAACTCAGGATACTTTAACCAGTTAAATAGATACATTTCACATGTCTACTGAGTATTCTAATACATACTTAATATGAGAAATAGACATAGTAAACAAATGGCATATTAAGAAAATGACAAGATCATAAGTCACTAGGATTAAGTAAATGTCTGGCTACCTAAAAAAAAATATTTCTAAATTCATAAATTGGATTATTTAAATTATTAAAATAAACATATACTGAAGTTCCTGTAACAGCAACTTATTCTTTATATTTTTGTGAAGATATTTTCTATTATTATAGAAAATTAAGAAACCATATGTGCATTGTGAGCTGAATAAAATTGCATTTGTTTTGGTTGTCATACAGCATTTTACAAATGAGTTCCCATTTATCTTCATAGCTGTTTGTACAAGCATTTGGGGCTAGAAAGTCAGTAACATTTGACCTCTGAACATTTCTATCTTTTCTCAGACTTGTTCAATGTTAGTGAACATCAAAGAGTAATTTATCACTATGTCACACTTGCCTGAAGAATTTCTTAGGGTCTCAAGAAGAATGATGAGGTTAGTCTTTAAGTCCTGAAAATTCCTGAAGGTGAATTTTTCTCTCTGATGTACACAGATAATTCTGTCTTTGCTGAAGATTTGCTCCTGTGTCTTTGTTCTCATTGCAAATGTTTAGGTTTTAGGTTGCCTATTCAATATTTCCTTTTTAATGGAACCTTGGATCTAAATGCTCACTTGAACACTGCTCTATGTAGTAGATATTTTGGCCTAAATCTGGATTATGTTCACTGCTGGGATAGAGGCATGTTGGCTGAATTTATGGGAAAAATCCAGCTGAAGTTTTTATTATAGTGTCAATCAGGGAACAGAACTGAGATTCTCCCTGAGAAGAAACTTGAGCTGAAATAGGTAGATTTTTGATGGAATGTCTTGCAAACTGGTAAGGCTTTCAATAAAAGTCTGTGTTGCCAGGAAGTATAAGAAGAAGCCACAAATGCTGAGCTTGATCTTGTTTAAGGTCATACTTTTTATAAATGAGTGGTTTTTCTGATGAAAGCATTGGGCTTACTTGAATTTGTCTTAGCTGTAAGACTGTGAGTCTTAAAAGAGCAAAGGGTCTGAGAGTTAAAAATGATCAAGTTCTAAACCTCCCAGCAGTTCCAAACGACCCAGCAATTTCACTCCTGGGTATTGATCCCAGAGAAATGAAAACTTATGTTCACACAGAGACCTCTACACAAATGTTGATAGCAGAGTTATTTGTTATAACCTGGATCTGAAAATAACTGAAGTGTCCTTCCACAGGTGAATCACTAAATAAACCATACAGCCATACCACAACGAAATGGCTCAGCAATAAGAAAATAGACTATTTATAAACATAACACTCGGATGAATCTCCAGAGAATTATGCTAAATGAAATAAGCCAAACCCCAAAGGTTACATATTAAATGACTTTACTTATATAACATGATTGAAATGACAAAGATACAGAGTTGGAAAACAGGTAAGTAATTTCCAGGGGTGAGGGGACCAGTGAAAAGCAGTTGAGACTGAGGTAGACATGGTAAAAGGGGCTGTTCTGTATTCTGACTGTGATGGTAGCTACACAAATCTAAACGTGGAAGACTGAAAAATGGTCCCCAGAAAACATCCATGCTTCAATCTCTGCAACCTGTGTCGCATTATTTGGGGAAAAAAAAATGGTCCTTGCAGATATGGTTAAATTAAAAATTTTAAAATAAAGAGCTTGGTCGGACGCAGTGGCTCACACCTGTAATCCCAGCACTTTGGGAGGCCAATGCGGGCAGATCATCTGACGTCAGGAGTTTGAGACCAGCCTGGCCAACATGGTGAAACCCCTTCTCTACTAAAAGTACAAAAAAATTATCAGGGCATGGTGGTGGCAGCCTGTAATCCCAGCTACTTTGCAGGAGAATCATTTGAACCCAAGAAGCGGAGGTTGCAGTGAGTCGAGAACACATCATTGCACTCGAGCCTGGGCAACAAGAGTAAAACTCCCTCTCAAAAAGATAAAAATAAATAAATAAAATAAAGAGCTTATCCTAGATTACTTGGGTGAGACCTAAATACCATCATAAACCTCCTTCTAAGAGAGAGGCAAGGGGCTAGGTACACACATAAAAGATGAGGCTGTGTGATCACAGAGGAAGAGATTGGCATGCAATGACACCAGCCACTGGGAGCTGGAAGGCCAAAGAACAGATTCTTCCCTAGAGCCTCCAAAGCGAGCACAGCCTGGCAAACACCTTGAATTTGGTTTAGTGATACTGACTTTGGACTTCTGGTATCCAGAACAGTGAAAACCAATTTCTAGCGTTTTAAGCCAATGAATTGACGGAAATCTGTTACTAATTACTATATGTGTGATAATATTGCATAGAAACACAAATAAATACATATGCAAACGAGTACATGTAAAATTAAGGACATCTGAGTTAGATTGGTGGACTATATTACTACCAATTTTGTGGTTTTCATATTGCATTATAACTTTACAAGATAGAAGTTAGGAAATTAGAGAAATGGGTTAAAGAGTACATGGGATTTCTCTGTGTTACCTTAGATTTGCATGTGAATCTATACTTATCTCAAAATTAAAATTTAATTTAAAAGATGATAGAGTTGTTTCATTGTTAGAAAGAAACAAACAGTAGAATATCTTCATGACTTTAGTGTTTGCAAAGATATCTTAAAAACAATGCAGAAAAGCATATTAATCATAAGGAAATATGTTAAGGTAAAATATATTAAACTAAGAAATATAATTCCTTAAAAGAAACACCCATTAATAGAATGAAAAAGCAATCTAAGGGTGAAATAATATATTTGCCATACAATTTATATGACAAATTCCTCATATAAAGAGTTTCTACAAAACAATTAAAAAGCCACAGTGAAAAAAAGAAATGGGCAAAATGTTTAAACCGAATGTCTTCACTAGAGTGATATCCCATATTGTTGCTAAACATATAAAACAATGATGAAATTTATTAATTATCAAGGAAATGTGAATGAAGACCACAAGGTGATACCACTATATACTCAGCAGAATGGCTGAAATTTAAAAGACACATAATACTATACATTAGTCAGGTTGTGGACAAACTACAATTTTCTTACATTGCCCACACATTTAAGTTGGTGTATGCAATATGAAAAACTACTCAGCAATATCTACTAAAACTGAATATACATATACACTATGATTCAATAATTCTACTGATGAAGCCAACAGAAATAAGTACATATATTTTTCCAAAGGCACATACACGTATACCTAGAGCAACAATTTTTACAATAATCCTAAACTGAAAAAAAGCCAAATGTTCATCATTTGAATAGTTAAATACTCCTGTATTCATACATATCAATATTATACAGCAATAATCATGAAATAATTACAACTATATGCACCATTATGAATGGTGCTAAATGAAAGAAAAAAAGAGAGTCCATAGTGAACAAGACTATTTATTTGAAATTCAAAATCTGGTAAATTAATCTATGAAAGTAGAAGTCAGGAACCTTGTAGGGGGTGAACAGCAATTAGCATAGCATAATTTTGTATTTTGATGCAATTCTGTTTCTTTATCTGGATGAAGGGAACATGGGTGAGTTCACTCCATGAAAAGTCATTGAGTCGTACTTATGATATGTATGCTTTTCTATATGCATGTGATGCTTCAATTTTTAAAAATGTGTTTCTTTCTGTACCTATTCTGAATGTTCTTTAGTTCCAGAAACTATACTAAAGAGATTGCAATGCATTTATAGACTTGGGAATTATTTTTCTCTATATTATTTTATTTATCTCTGTATTATTTTCTCTATGTTATTTATTTATCAATAGTATTTTAATATCCAAGAGTATGCCATATCTTTTCATTATGTAATATTTATTCCTTTAAGAACAGCTTTTCAGTATTTATTTAATGTAGGTCATACAAAATTGGTGGTCACATGATTTTCCTATTTTACATGTAGTCCAATCATTGTTCTTATAGTTAAAAAAAACTTTTTAATATACCATGTCTTCTAATTGGTTAATAGTGATATATAGGCAATATTTTCCAAATTTCAGGGTGCCTTTTATAAAATTAATCAAGAATGTTCTTCATGAATACATTTAGAGAGATTCATCCAGCTCTGCTTATTGAAAATTTAGCAGAGGGGATTACTAATAAAGGGTTAGTTTTTTTTAAAAAAAGGGTATGTCCATGTAAAGGAATAATATGGAGTGAGTAAAAATCATTCAGTATATGAATTCTTAATTATATATGGAAAATAAGAAGAAATTATATGTGGAAAATAAGAAATCATTACTAAGTGAAACAGCAGATTACAAATTAAAGTTTTACAAAAAATCATAGGGGAAATGTTTCATGACATTGGGCTTGGCAGTGATTTCTTGGATATGACACCAAAAATATAAGCAAAAAAAGTAAAATTGTGTACAAGTGGGGATACATTAAACTTAAAAGCTTTGGCACAGCAAAGGAAACAATCAACAAAATTAAAAGACCACTTATGAAATGGGAGAAATATTTGAAAATCATATATCTGTTAAGAGGCTCATTACAAAATATATTAGGAACTCCTACAACTCAAGAGCAAATAACCAAATAACCCAATTAAAAAGTGAGCAAAATACTAGAATGGTAATTTCTTCAAAAAAGACACACATATGTGGCTGAAAGGTATAAGAAAATTTGCTCAGCATTGCTAATAATCAGCAAAATGCAAATCAAAACCAAAATAAGATATCGTCTCAGGCCAGGCACGGTGGCTCACGCCTGTAATCCCAGCACTTTGGGAGGCCAAGGCAGGTGGATCACCTGAGGTCAGGAGTTCAAGACCAGGCTGACCAACATGGAGAAACCCCGCCTCTACTAAAAATAGAAAAATTAGCCAGGCATAGTGGCGGGTGCCTGTAGTCCCAGCTACTCGGGAGGCTGAGGCAGGAGAATGGCTTGAACCTGCGAGGCAGAGGTCACAGTGAGCCGAGATTGTGCCATTGCACTCCAGCCTGGGTGACAGAGAGAGACTCCATTTCAAAAAAAAAAAAAATGATGTTGTCTCACATCTATTATGATAATTATTACAAAAAATAGGTGTTGGCAAATATGTCAATAAGTTGGACTCTGTGTAAACTGCTGGTGGGAATTTCAAATGATGTAGCTTGCTTATGGAAAAGAATGAGGAGGCTCCTCAAAAATTAATAACACAATTACCATAGAATTCAGCAACTTCATTTCTGGACCACAAAACTGAAATCAAGATCTCAAAGAGTAATAGCACTCCTATGCTCATTGCAGCACTATTTATAATAGCCAATATGTGAAAACAACCTGAATGTCCACTGATGGATGAATGAATAAAGAAAATGTAGTATATATATATAACAGAATAATAGCCATAAAGAAGAAAAGCCATATGCCACAACGTGGGTGAATCTGGAGAACATTATGGTAAGTAAAATAAGCCAGTCACAAAAGGACAAATACTGCATGATTCCACTTATACGAGGTATCTGTGATTGTCAAGCTCAGAAACAGAGAGTAAAAAGGTGGCTTCCAGGGCCTGGAAGAGGGGGAAACAGGGAGTTACTCTTCAATAAGTACAAAATTTCAATTACGCAAGATGAGTACATTCTAGAGATCTGCTGTACAACACTGTTCCTATAGGTAAAAATACTGTATTGTGCAGTTAAAAATTTGTGGTAAGGGTAGAATTATGTAGTCATACATTCTTATCACAATTTAAATAAAATGATGTTAAACGAAATAAGCAGGCATAGAAGACAAATATCAGGTAATCTCACTCAAATGTGAAACTGAAAATGTTGTTCTCACAGATATAGAGAGTAGAAGAGTGATTACCAGAAGAAGGGGAGGGGAGGAAGGAGAGAGGGAGGGAAGTGATTTGTCAGTGGGTACATACAAAATTACAGTCAGAAATAAATTTTGACATTCTATTGCATAGTAGTATGACTACTGTTAACAATAGCGTATATTTTAAATAGCTAGAAGAGTGGTTTTTGAATGTTCTCATAACAAATAAATGATAAATGTTTAAGCTGATGGATATTTAATGATTACACAATGTATACATGTATCAAACCCTGATTCGATCATTGCACAATGTATACATGTATCAAACGATAATTTGACAATTACACAATGTGTACATGTATTAAAACATCATCTTGCACTTCATACATATGTACACTTATGTGTCTATAATAAATTTTTAAAGTTGAAAAATAATAAACAAGATATTGCCAAGCTTTCAAAAATTATGTATGGTATAATTCCACTTACATACACATAATTTTTAAAAGAATGAATGGATATATACCAATTTTTAACAATTATAAAACATTAGTGTTTTGCTTATGGTTACTTTTGTCTTACTATTTTCAATTATTTGTTCTCCTGAGTTTTAAAAATAAACTTTAGCACTAAGATTTTATAAGCTATTATGTTTTCAGTGGAAATCTGCCTTTTTATCCTCTTTGAATAAAAACATGAATTTTTAAAAATATCAGTAAAGACGAGCCTTCCAAGAATATCATGTGTCTAAGTGGAAAAAATTAACAACTTAGGAATCAAGCAAAGCGGGTTGAAATCCTGACTTGCCTAGTGTGGCCTTGTGCCCTGCGAAATCTATTTAACTTCTCTGAGATTTAACTTACTCCTTTATAAAATTTGGAAAATTAAATTGTAACTTTGGATTTGGTGAGTATATCACTGTCTGGTTATTATTACTATTTTCTTTATTATTAATATAGTGGAGACAGTTTTGGGAATGATGTTTTGATATAACTCTGACTACTTTAAATATAAATCAATGTATTATACTTTTAAAAGTAGATATTTTATTTTACTCTTATGTAATTATGTTTTAAATGCCATTGATAATTTTAGTGAAGAATAAACTTTTAATAATTTTATAAATTTTAACATCAGTAACAGAAGAAAATATATAATTCAGTATTTTCATTTTTGTTGCATGACTAGTTTTCTTGTTCATTGTCTCCAAGACATCTTTCTTCATGAGCCAAACTAATAATCCCTTAATTTATCCACTTACATTTGAATTCCTTACATTAATTACATTGGAAGCAAAATTAGCTTTTGAGAATGTCTTAAAACTCTACTATGGATAGTCCCAAGTTTCAAAAGGTCTGGACTTTTCACTGAGTTGGGAACAAATAAGTCTTCAGGTATGATGTGATGTATCTTAGAAATATATTTAATAATGTTCTAAAAATAAATGTTCACATAGGCATTAAAATATCTATGAACCATAAAGTTGGAATATATTTCCTGATAGAATTTATAATATTAGATGCAGATATTTTTAAAATAAAATTTTAGACTCAAAATGAAACTCAATATTTATATTTTCCATATTATGGCAATTTGTGAAATAAATAGTAACTCACCATTACCACCCAATTATTGAATACTTTTTTCACTTATGATATATAATATATAAAATGACTTAATATACATCTCAGCATCTCATTCAATAACTAAATAAATAATAATAGAATTATTTTAATAGAAATAATACTAAGTTCCTTTGTCTCTGAAAACATCATGATACTCTAAATAAATGTTTACCATGCGTATCATTACCTTAAATAACTCTACCATTTTTTCTTGTATCAAAAAAACATGTACATTAAATCACATGTTAATTCATTACCTGTTCTTATAAAAATGTGAGAGCAATACTGACGTCAATTTTAACATATTCGTAATACTCAATGAATAAATGTAGTACTTTACATGTGACAAAACATATAGGGAAGCAGTCTGTAACGGTAGCATGGTAGTCTTAAAAATAGAACGACACATTTTTAACCTAGCCTCACTGAGATGGTCGAGATTCATCCTTCATCCCTTGAGTGTGAGTTACATTTAGTGACTCCATTTTAATAAGAGAATATGGCTGAACGGATGGCAAATCACTTCTGGGATCCTTACAAAAGACCGCAGCTTTCACCTTGGGTCTCTCTTCCTTTCTCCCTCCCTCCCTCTTGAAATGGCTTATTCCCAGGAAAGCCAGCTGCCCTTGTGGAAGTGGCCTTACAGAGGAGCTCAAGCTGAGGGGCTGTGGAGCTCAGTCTGCAAGCAGTGAGTTAACAGAAGCCTGTACACAAACCGTGTGAGTGTACTTGGAAGTGGATACTCTAGCCCCAGCTAAACCTCTAGATAAGGACAAGCAACTCCAGCCAACGGCAATCTTGTGCGAGATTTCTCATGAGCAAGAACCCAGCCAAGCTGTTCCCAGATTTCTGACCCTCTGAAAAGGTGTGAGATAACCATTATTGTTTCAAACTGCCAAGTTTAGGGGAAACTAACACAGGTAGAAAGAATGCAGAATTTGGCAACATAATCTTGGCTGGATGCCCACTTGCCACTGCATGTGTCATTTTATATTTCAGAACTTTGGTTTCCCACTCTCTAAAGTGGGCCTTATCTATCTATATCTTGCAAGGTAATTCCATTGTTTAACTCTTATGAAGCACCCCGTATTGTATCAAGTAAATGGGCATAAGAAAAGTAATCCATAAGTGACATATAGAGTCTTATGACTTTTTACTATCATTTTCATTATAAAGTATTATTATTTTAAAACTTTGTTAAAATATTCAAAATATAAAAATACATTATTTAATTTAAATAATTATTCTATATCTCTATACAACAGCTTTGCCCAACCACAGTTTATTTTGGAATAATTTAAATATATCTTCCAAACTTGTACAAAACTTAGACAAGCCAAAACTATAAATCCAGTCATATAATGATAAACATCTCCACATCATAACAAAGTATTCCACATTTTAAATTTAAAAATTAAATTAATTTTTAATTAAAGGGGAAGTGTTAATTAATTTTTAATTAGTTAATTAAATTAAAGGGGAAGTGTTAGATCACATTTTTAGCTTTAGAATTTCTACTACCAGAAAATTAGAATTTTTTGTAGGTTATTAACCTTACCACTTGAAATAGTGTTCTTTCCTCCCTCCCTCCAGAATAATGCTTGGAAGAGAGTACTCTGTTACCTCTGAGCTTCTAAGTGCTTTTTGAAAAGGAACAAGCTGATACTTAGTATAAAGAGATCAATATGTAACATTATTTTAGTAGTAACCACTCAAAATAATGACTCTGTGTGTGTGTGTATATATATATATATATATATATATTTGTTGAGCCTCAGCCCTCATGCCAGTCCCTTCAGTAACAAGCAAAGTGGCTTTTTTTTTTTTTTTTTTTTTTCCTCCAGGACTATAAATACAAATCCTCTGAGCAGCACTTTGCAGCATGTGGATAACACTCAATCGAGCACCTGAAGGAGATTCCACTTGTCTCTGGGAAAAAAATAAAAAATGTGTCCATTATTTCATGGGACACAGAGGGTTCCTTCCAAATTGCATGCTGACAACTAGGGCTGTGCTCCAGAAAAATTACAATGTTTGTCAGCAGCGATTTCCTCATATGTTGCATAACACAATTGCAATACATGATACTTGGATTCTTTTTGTACTAGATAATTTAATGCTTCCATTTAATAAGAAGATCTATCCAATAAAGCCACATAAACTAACAGCGTATACGAAATCAGACATCAGGCCAGGCGCAGTGGCTCACGCTTGAAATCCCAGCACTTTGGGAGGCCGAGGCAGGCAGATCATCTGAGGTCAGGAATTCAAGGGCAGGTTGGCTAATATGGCAAAATCGAGTCTCTACTAAAAATACAAAAATTAGCCAGGCTTGGTGGCGGGCGCCTGTAATCCCAGCTACTCAGGAGGCTGAAGAAGGAGAATCACTTGAACTCCGGAGGCGGAGATTGCAGTGAGCCAAGATCGCACCATTGAACTCCAGCCTGGGCGACAGTTAGACTCTGTCAAAAAGAAAAGAAAAGAAGGAAAGAAAAAAAGAAAAGAAAAAACGAAAAGAAAAGAAAAGAGAGAGAAGGGAGGGAGGGAGGGAGGGGAAGGGAAGGGGTGGAGAGGGGAGGGGGAGGGGAGGGAAGAGAAGGGAAGGGAAAGGAAGAGAAGGGAAGGGAAGGGACAGTTTGTGGGAAGTTGTGAAGACTGGGAATTGGAGAGACACTTGAGGGTATAAGATTTAAGTATCTATGCCTACCTTAGGGAAATGTTATTATCAGAGAAAAAGAAACTCACACATCTCTTTATACGTAAGTTCTTGGGTAAAGTGAAAGATCGTCATCACTCTGTGTCTAACTGCGGCTCTGTAAATTAGCTAGATACATAAACTTGGCTAAATGACTACTATATTTGGTGATAGCTTTTCTCATCTGAAAAACAAGTGTTGGATTTATGATTTGAAGTACCTTGTTGTATTCAATTTTATGTTGATACAGAAGTATTATAATTTGATTTTGATCTAGCTTAGCACATGTATTACTTTCCCAAATTTATAAAAACATATCTTCATATTGTGGGAACAGGAGGAGGAAGGTCCTTAATTTCTTCAAAAATATCATGACAGTTGCAGATTTGCTTTCTTGAAAAATGCAGAGATTCAAAAAATGACCACAAAACAGAGTACAGTCTTAAATGCATGTCTGAGAGATAACCATGGGATTTATGAGGATCTTGTAACTGCAAATGGTTTCTTGCTGAGAGATGTTTCTCCATACTGATAAAGAACCTCAATTTATATTATTGAAGTAGGAGCTTCTGAAAGGTGGGGCTAGAGTAAGGCTGGGAGAATTCTGCAAATAACTAGAGATGTGAAAAGAAAAATGAAGTTCAAGCATTCCGATTTCCAAGTTAGAAATTGGAAACTGTTTCCCAAAGAAGCAGCTGGATAAATAATGGCCAAGTTCTGCAATAATACTGTTGCTACATTTTAATTACATTTTGATTTAGGTAGAATCTTGCAGGTTGGTTTTGTATCCTAACCACATTCATCATGCAGGTTTTATGGAGAAATATGTTCCAAATTCTAACAGTGGCTTACAAATGAACTTGTAGAGCACAACCTGATTGCAATTTGGAAATGGCTTGCAAATACTTTATTTTTATTAATATTTTATTTAAAATATTGGAAGATAAATTGTATGATCAATGATTTATAAAACATTTAGATCATATCCAATTCATTAAAATATATATAATTTATATGTATACGTATGATTAGTAGTTTAATAGCCACTTTTTAAAAACTTTCTTACCTTCATTCATCAAAAAGAATTGGTCAACACTAATTACAGGTAAGCTAAAAAATATGATGATAATATTATTTTTTTACCTATATATACTTGTTTTTAACCTTTAAAATAATTGTTAGGCTATAGGAAGTGTCAGTTGGGGGTGACTTAGCATAGAGCACGTGAGTCTCAGGCTGTGAAACAACTTTATTAAAATCAATTTTAAAAATCAGAAAAAAAATCAGAAGGATTTGCAAATGATCTAAAATGAAGGCTGACAGAGAATCAAAGGGAAGACTGACAAGTCATGACTGAGTTGATATAGAATTTACTGCAATAGATAATATTAAAAAAATTCTGAATTGAGAACAACTCTAGATGCGAGTTAGCCATCCTCAGTAATACCATCTTTTCTTTCTAGATATCCTGAAGCTAGTTAACAAGTTATATTTTCTCCTCTAGTCATTAACATACTTTTCAACAATGTGTGTTTTCCGAAATCAAACTTCAATTGAATAATCTGCAGAGATAGTGAAAAACTAATCCATTCATTAGTGATTAGCTAATTATATGAAAAATGGAAACTGGATGCCCACAGTTCCCATATCTAGTGAAAGAGGTTAAAAAAAGAAACTTGACATGAATTCCATGATAGCAGGGATTTCATAGGACTAGGAAATGCAATCCATAGACATTAATTATGTAGGTCTCATAATTTTAAAAAGGAGCCTTCGAATAAACACCTTCTACCCCAGATCCTTCCCATTAATATTACATCTAAATGTGTAATACAGGTTAAAGTTTAAAGATTCATGTAAAGATACCTAATGACGATTTTCAATTTATTAAATTGAATATGTCTATACTGGATCTATATCTATTTTTATGTCACCTATCTAATTAAAATGTATAAAATAACAATTATATTAAAGATATTTCTGATTAACCTAAATGTAACAATATTACTAGTGAAGATGTTCTACACCTTGATAACATACTATTGTAACCCTTTCTTCTTGGCTTCTTCTTATCGCATCAAAATGAAGGACCCACAGAATCCAAGTTACAGAGTCTTTTGTACAAGATGGTTTGAAGTGCTGTTCAAACTTGTGTAATTCTGACAAATGTATTCAGAAAAGTATCCCTGCTCATTCACCTATTCAAAATAGCAAGAGTGCTATGTAAACAGAAAATATGGTTAACATTGCAACATTCTAAGGTCAATTATTAAAGACTAATATAAATAGATCCATGATTGGGCCATGATAATAATAAATAAATAAAATCCACAACCAATCAAGACACAACTATCACCTGCCCAAGTTTGTGTCTGTCTCTTTCTCTCTAAGCTGTTGTATATATCAGCTATCATAAGCTGCTAACCAAAATGAAGCGATGTATCATTTTATAGGTAAATAGAGTTTAATGAAAAGAAAGATAACTTTCAAATGATAAATAATAAAATAATAGTGTTTTGTCTACTCTAAGGTATCTAAAATGTAAAAAGAACATGATGATTGCTGAAAATTGTCAGTTAACTTAAAAGTTAAATTCCTGTTTTATGGTTATCTTTGTGGCAACCATTATATGATTAGGCTTCTTAAAATGTCAGTAATGCAAGACATTGCCATATAAAAAAATTCATGGTTATGTGTGTTTCAGAAATGCTGTCTATCAAACCCGTGTCTGTAGATTGACAAACAATACACTTTGCACTTGGGTCAAAAATCATAGTATAGGTTGAGTATCTCGTATTTACAATGCTTGGGACAAAAGTGTTTTGGATTTGGGGTTTTGTTTTTAAATATTTGCAAATGCATAATGAGATATGTTGGGGATGGGGCCCAAGTATAAACAGCAAATTCATTTATGTTTTCTATACACCTTATACACATAGCCTGGAGTTAATTTAATACAACATTGGTAATAATTTTGAGCATGAAACAAAATTTTGACTGCAACTGATCACATGAGTCCAGGTGTGGAATTTTCTGCTTCTGGTGTTATGTCAGTATTCAAACAGTTGATTTTGAAACAGTTCATGTTTTGGATTTTTGAATTAAGGATGCTCAATCTGAGGTATAAAAATTTAAATAGCCTCATAAGGCTAATGAAAATCATGATGATAAATATATTTTTACTGACTTTTTTTCACCTACAATTTCCAACTGATCTGAAAAATTTAGGAAAGGCATATTCATGACATTAATTTCTATAAAATATTATCACATCATTATATGTTGTCTGTAGTTAATTTACTTAGTGAATTTTCTAAATTCAAAGATTACTTTCTTGATCTTTACAAACATAATTTTCAATCAACTACTCATTCAATATTTAGCAGCAATATTTCCAGCTTTTGACTTAAAATAAAATAACATCTTACATTTAGCAACCTGGTATATATACTTTAAAATCCTTAAATGGGGATATGGAAGAGTTAATCAGACATTTCTAACTAATGTATAATTTCCCTTTATTATTTCTCAATGACGTTTCCTAGCAACATTAAAAGGCTAGTCTTCTATTTGCTTTGTGTTTGTATTCTTCTTGCTAAGGAAGTAAAAATCATATTCAGAAGGCTTATTTACTATAATTATAAAAATTATCAGAAATACTTAATCATTCATTTACCTTGTTTTGATGGGGAAAAAGCCAGTGGAACTAATATGATAACTCCTTCCATGGAAAGTGAAGTTCAGGTACTTTTATGTTTCAAAGCAAGAGAATTTTGGCGTGTTATAGTATTGACAATGACATGCTTCTTATTTATATACAGAAATGAAAACTTTAATCTCATTTAACTAAAAATGTTTTTATTATGTGAGCATCTCCCATAATCTTAAATTAAAGTTAGATATGTACTATGATGAGTTAGATAGGAGGGAGGAAAAGGTATACTAAGAAAAATATAGACAACCTTGAATTTCAAATAATTATAAGAAACATTAATATTTTCCACAATAAAATTCTATCCTTCTAAAAATAATTTGTATAGTTTTATAAACTTTTCTTCCTGGGAAGTGGGAGATATTGAACTGTTAGAAAAATGTTTTAGAATTTATTCATCTTTTTCCAGGTTTTCACAACTATTCCTTATACAGTATATTATCCGTGCATACAAAATATGTTGAAAACAAGTTATCTGTCATATGGCCTATTTTCATCTGAGCTGAGATTTCCATTGCTTCCAAGTAAGCAGTGGTATGAGGATGAACATTCATAATGATTAAATTAATTATATTTTATCAGGCCTGAATGCTAACATAGAATCTAATATTGAAATCTGCTTGGTAAACTGCAGGTTTCCCTAAATCCAAAACGGAATAAAAATATTAATGTCTGTTTATTAGGACATTTACACTAAGATGTGGATCAGTGCAGTGGATAAGAGCCAAACTTTTGGAGTCAGTTGGTCAGACTTGATTTCATATTTTGGGCCAGCCACAGGACCAGCCATATAAGCTCTACATTGCTCACTGACTGGGAGCACATCTCCTATCCTCAGATACATTACCTTCATTAGCTAAAAAATGAGAATAGTAACAGTGCAGACAGGAGAAATAGCCGTTTTCTGCATTTTCTACATTTATGGAGGAAATGCAAACTGCTATGACACGTTTCCTGGTGAACTGAAATCCCAATTAGTCAGCAACTCCACAATATATTTTTAAAAGTGTCCTTGGCACCTAAATGAAAACAGCTCTATAGAGAGGTTGGGAAGGTAAAGAAAAGAACGCAAGTAAAGTGGTTTCCTTCACTTTTTTTTTTTTTTTTTTGAGATGGGGTCTTGCTCCTTGCCCTGCCTGGAGTGTAGTGGTGTGATCTCGGCTCACTGCAACCTCTGCCTCCCGGGTTCAAGTGATTCTCCTGACTCAGCCTCCCGAGTAGCTGGAATTACAGTCACATGCCACCACACCTGGCTAATTTTGTATTTTTAGTAGAGATGGGGTTTCACCATGTTAACCAGGCTGGTCTCAAACTCCTGACCTCAGGTGATCCACCCTTCTCACCCTCCCAAAGTGGCATGAGCCACCACGCCCAGCCAGCCACTTCTGCTATGTAGGAAACTTTTGGTGAATGCTTTTATTATATTAATAATTATTACAGCATTAGAAGTCTGAAGCCAAAGTTGCCCAGTAGGTCAAATGGCAAAAAAAAAAATCTATACATATTGATGTCTGTCTGAAATCATTATTCTTATTTCGGACTATCATTTCCTTCAGGTTTGCAGGAAATTATACTAATGACAAAGAAGGTTAAATGTATTTGGTAACAGATTCAGTAAGCCAAATAAAATCAGTATGGTGTGATGATTACTGGTGCTTTCCTTTATTCTTTTTTGGTGAGTAATTACTACACTTTTAAACTCAAAAACTACATATGCGTTGAATTGTATGTCATTTTCATCTTTTTTACCCATGAACATAGATTAACTTCAGTTTAGTCTGTGAGTTCATTCTTGCCGTAATAAACATCCTTTATGGGTCTCCCAAGTAGATTTTTCTCTTCTGTTAATGTTATCAGTTAACCTTCAGAAATGGATATTTTCTTTTCTTTTCAGGAAATAAATCAGCCCCAATGTGGCTCAATAACTGTGGCCAAAACGGGAAGTGATGAGGAAATGTGGAAAGAGCTATTTGCAAATTTGTGTTATTGACATTTATTGAGAATATACAATATATTATGATATATATTCTAGTGAACTAGAGCCCAAATTAGTCAGCAACACCACAATCATTCTTCTAACGTGTCTCAGCTACCTAAATAAAAGCCACTCTGTACAGGTTTATATCACCCCAGAGTGCAAACAAGCACATTTTCCTTAAGGACACAGCAGCAGGGATCTACGCTCCATTAAGCTCTGTATTATGAACCGATGTTGTGGAGATTTAGCTGCTTTTCCTATTTTCAGAATTTAGCTCTATTCAGTTGTACCCTTATATGTAAGTTCACTTATAATGGATTCACAAATGCATATGGTCAGAGATATTTCTAGGCAATCAATCAATCTTTCTTTACTTCTATTAATAATTAATAAGATTTATAGGCACTATGGGAAAGAAACTATGAAACAAAATAAGTACTCTAAGAATTCATTGTAGCACAAACATCAAATCAAAATAAAAAGGTGTCTGAAGGCCATACATGATAATCATCTATTCAAAAAATAGTTATCTAAGTCTTACCACGTGTCCTGGACATTGGAGATGAAATGGGTACCCTATGAAAAAAGACCCTTCTCTTTTGGAGCCTATAGCCTAGGAGGTGGGGTAAAGACATGAATCCAATAACTGCATAAATAATAATTATTATAAATACTCTAAATTCTGGAAAAGATATATACGTAAGGACATAAAAAGTAGGACTTACTCTGGCCTGGGGAAGGCATTGACTCTGAAGTGACATCTGAGCTGATGTGTTAAAGCTAAGTAGGTACCTACTGAGTAAGCAGACTGGAGGTAGGGGAAAATTTTCAGGTAGAGAGAGATTAGATAATCTTTCAATGCCTGTAAGCAATAGGAAACTGAAAAAGGGCTACCATGGCTGCCACTGAAAGAGCAAGGAGTTAGGTGGAGAGGGTAAGTTGGGCATGGAGTATGGAGACCTAAGTGTGTGTCAGCCTGACTGTCTATTTTGGATTATACTCCTCTCCCTGAACAGTGAGAAGCCATAGAAAGGTATTTGGTGGCTGAGCATGCTGATCTGATTCTCATTCTTATTACAAAGCTCTTCCTTCCCTCTGTTTAGCAAGGGAAGAGGAGGGGATTATGAGTCCAGATAAATAAGATAGAATAATGGTTTAGAAGAGAGTGTTGATGGTAGAGTTAGAGAGAAGGGGAAAGATTATACTATTAGGAGATAATATCTGTTATGCACTGAAAGGTCATGTGCTATCCACACACCCTCACCCCCAGATTCATATGTGGAAGTTTTAACTGCCAATTGGATGATATTTGGAAATGGGATCTTTTGGAGTAATTAGGTTGAGATGAGGTTATGACGGTGATGTTCCCATGATGATAATAGTTCCCAAATAGAAAGAGGAAGAGACACCAAACCTCCCTTTCCCTGCTATGTGAGGACACCGAGAGAAGACAGCTGTCAACAAGCCAGGGAGACAGCCCTCACCAGGAACCAAATCCACCAGCATTTTCTTCTTGCTGTGAGATTCTCTAGAACTGTGAGAATTAATGTTGGTGATTTAATCCACCTACTCTGAGGTATTTTGTTATAGTAGTTCACACCTACTTAGACAATATCCATAAAAGAGGTGAACTGAATAGAAGAATAGGGAGTGAGTTTCAAAGTGTTATTTTTAGATAACTTGCTTGAGCTTTTGCATAAGGCATAAAACAGGGAACCATGGAACAGCCTATATTTGGGTTGGTGGATGAGGATAATTACACTTTAGATGTGGTCAAAGGGAAGATAAGCTGCTTTTGAGATGTTAAGTAGTGGTATCATTGAAGCGGCAAGATTGACAGCTCTGGAAATCTAAGGAGTCATCTAGGTTACATGTTACTCTTTGGGAGTCATCGATTCCAGGTAATAATTAAAGACATGTGTGAAAGTGCTCAGGAAGAGAGCATAGAGGAAGAAAAAATAAAGACATGAATTGTTTAGCTATTAACAATAATAATAAAAAAAAAACACTTAACGGCTTCGTAAAAGCAAAGCCAATGGAAACAAATCAGTCTCAGAGGAAGGGGCTAAGGAAGAGAGGTGTGTTTCATTCACATCACATGAAGTTTCCTTAAAGAAGATAAATGAATACATCAGGTACTGAGGCTCTGGGAGTTTAAGGGAGATAAAAATTGAAGAGCATCCATGGATTTAGTGACACAGAGGACATGTTTCTCTGAAACAGAATCACTGTATTGGAGCAATGAGGCCAGATATCAAACTGGAGTGGGGAATCTTGTCAAATGTAGAGAATAAAATCAAACCATTTTCTGAACAAAACTTAGTTGAGTGATCATCTACTAGTTTGTCTATTTTAAGCTTCCCTTTTATCCCATGAATGTTATTCCATTTGCAAGTGAAGAAGAAGAGTTTATTTATTTATTTTACTGCTAATGAGCTATTTCATCTTACAAATTCATAGGCAACTGATGCTATGGGAAAGATAATGTGTGCATAGAAGAATGATGAAAAACTGCTTAAAGGCAGAAAGATTTGAGTTTAGCCTGAAGAATGAATCACATCAAATGAAATGCAGGAGGAAAGAAGGGAAGCTAAAAGTGCTCTGTGTCAAGAGTCACAATAGGAGAGAGCAGGGCTTTCTTAGAGGGAGAAGACATCGGCCCATGAGGACAACTCAAAGCAAAGATAGGACACTGAGGCTGAGGAAGCAGCAGGGTCTGGGTGATTCTCAAGTGTCTTGAATGCCAGCCAGAGGAGTTAGCCATTTCTTAGAGACTATGAGAAGGCTTTGAAGCATTTGGTCAGAAAAGGGGCAGAAAGAATATGGGTATTTTAAAGAAAATCAATTCCTTCTATCCATCACTGTGGAGAGAAAGAAAGAATCAAGAAAAATGATAGAAAAGAGGTACCGATTTTTTAAAAGCAAAAATTGACATCTTGAGTGTGTACACTAGATACTTTTATGTTTTATGCTAAAAAAGAATTAGGCCCTCATATTAGTCATGATTATAAGAACCTCTAAAAACATGAATAATTTAAATGAGATAAGATTAATAAATATAATGCTCTTCATACTCTTTTTTCTCATATATGTTTTTCTCTAGAAAGAAAAACACAAATAAAGCATATCTGTTGATGTAATTGTTATCCTTGTGTTTTTTAGAAGGAATTGGTGTGTAGGGGTAAAACAGGAAAGCGAAGAAGATATTAAACTTGCAACAAGAAAAAGTTAGAAACTTCGATCACAAATGCTGAGTTCCCAAGGTTGTAAATTTTCAGTTCACTTTGACTTTTCCCAGACTCTTTGGTCAAAACAAACAAGTAACAAACTAAACAGTTTTTCTATCACCGTTGCAAACCTGATATGAAATCAGAGAGTAGGTATGTGTTCATGGCAGTTCAAGAATATATCACGAGGTTAGGTGCATGTGCCTATAAGAATAGAAAGTGGTTCTTCAGAGATGTGTGTACTTAGATCAGACATGATATCTATCTAAAAAAAAGAATGATGCTGAGCTAAGATGGAGGGGAGACCTCCACAGCCCAGAAGTCTGAAACTCTAGAGAAGCATCTGAAATAACATATTAAAATGTTATCTCCTTAATACATGATAATTACGCCACCATTGAGAACTCTTCTGTTCCTCAATTAGGCTAGGAAGGTGCAGATTTAGGGGAAGAGGAAGGAATTGACAGTATCACAGGGATGAGAAATAAAGCAAAACTACCTTCATGTGCAGTGGAATAACTATGCTGAAAAATAATATAGAAACAATGCGATTATTTTAGCTTCTATCAAATATGATTCTCTAAAAAATGAGACCATTAGGATCATAGAGCAGATAGTGTGCTTGTATTGAGGTTATTTAGCTCACAAAAAGGAAACTAAAATAGCTTAGGCATCTATTTTGTTTCCTTTTTGAGATGCAAAATAAGATGGAGAGATATAGTCAATGGGGGAAAATGGTGTTCTAGGATACATATGTGTTGTTTGATACAAAATTTAATAGTGTCTTATATGCAGTAGGGTAAAAATAGCATAACCTTTAGTATCTTTTACTGCTGAAGGAAAGAAGACCATTCCGTTATATGCATTTACAGTAATGTAAAATCTCTGGGCCTAAATCAACTGTATAAAGTTATATACTCTCCCCAGAGCCTTGAGACACCCTCTATACTCCCAGTAAAAGAAAAAAGAAAATGCAATTAGCATGACATTATTAGGTCAGGTAGTCAATTGTTTGCTTATTTTTATATTTGGACTTATCTATCTATATACACACATAAGTGTGTGGATATATAAATGCATACACACTTCTAAATTGTATACATACTTATATTGTACATATATGTGTATATATATACTCTCTTTACATATATGTATGTGTGAGTGTATATGTATATATCCACACACTACTAAATTTTTGGCTTTTAGTGTATGTGATTATTGATTGTAAAAGTAGTGAGAAATATGAATTTCTAGTAAGATAAAAGAATCAAATAATCAATTTGAATTTTATGCATTTTGAGCACCTAGCAATAATACTGGCTTTTTAGGGCCCAGGAATCAATCACTATTTACCAAAGGAAACAAAATGAAACATCAAGTCAATAGTTTCCTAAGAGCTGGAGACAACACTTCTAAAAAGAAATGCACAAATACAAAAAAAATTTCTCCCCCAAATTTGTAATATGATAATAGAAGGAACTTAACAATTTTTTTGTGGTGATATTATCAAAATAGTTTTTTTCCAACTACTAACCTTAATTACTTTATTTCCTCCCCGAAGGAAAGAATTAACCTTACTAAATGTCCTATGTGATAGAGTTCCATAAGGAAAGAATTATTTGTGCTTAACACTCTTTTAGAAAATAAGTGGTATGAGGGAGTTTTGATGTTCCACTAAAACATACTGCTTTCTTTTAAGAAATATATTAAAAATGGCATTTTCTGCCTGAATCTGTCTTTGATTTCTTAGTCTCTTTAGAGACTCTTCTACTAATTTGCTTTTGAAAGACAGTGCTGTCTTCCACTACTCCTTCCCAGTTCGTTTCTCAGTTGTCTTTCTTTTCTTCAAGTTCTTCCCTGATTAGCAATTTACATTCTTTCTTCTGTTGGCAAAGTTTGAGACCTCAGACTGCTTTGCTTTTATAGCTGACCCTTGGACAAGGTGGGGGTTGAGGCGCCAACCCCTGCACAGTCAAAAATCCTACTATAACTTTTGACTTTCCAAAACTTAAGTACTAACAGCCTACTGTTGACTGGAAGCCTTCCTGATAATTTAACCAGTAAAATAAACACATTTTCGAACAGCCTACTGTTGACTGGAAGCCTTCCTGATAATTTAACCAGTAAATTAACACATTTTTGAATGTTATATATTTCTATACTGTATTCATACAATAAAGTAAGCTATTGAAAGAAAATGTTATTGAGAAAATCACAAGGAAGAGAAAATTCATTTACAGTATTATACTGAATTTATAACATACATATATATCATTGTTTGTTTACAAGATAAATTATCTGTCTGAAATGGCAGGCAACATAGATAGATGGATAGGTGTTTTTTTTTTCTTTTAATTTTCTTTTATGTTTTGTTTTTCTAATTTTCTATTTGTATATATGTTTATTAAAGGAGGCAATGCTTACTAAATGCCTGGTCCAGCGACCAGATCATAGTTAGGATTCAATAAACAGGTATTTTCTAATTAATCTATTAACAGAACGTATGTGTTGGACTCTAAAAATTACTCCTTCCCTTATTTTAAAGTTCTGTACTAATACTCAGACTTATTCATGTCAAATCCTTTAAGTTGCTCCAGCCATTATTGAAGGATTCTAGACTTCCCTCTTTGTCTGGCACCTCACAGTAGCTTTCTAACTGACCTTTCTGCTTTCACCTTGTCCCCTTCCACTGTCTAATCTTAACACAGAAGCCAAAGGGATCCTTTCACCAGAAATCAGATTCTATCCTTCCTCAGCTTAAAACTATCAAGAGCCACACGTCCTTTATGCCAGCCCATAGAGCACTGCAAGATCTGGCCTCTAGTTACTTCTCTGACCTCCTGTCTTACTAGTTTCCTCAAAAACTCCATGCTCACCACTGAGTCCTTACCCCTTAGGCAAAAACTGTAGCTATTCTTCTGCAAGAAATCTTCCAGTATCCACAGGGATTACGCCCTCTTCTCATCCCAGTTCTTGCTCAATCCCCACCTTCTCAGTGAGACATCACTTGACCTTGATATTGAAGACTACAGCCTGTGGATCCACAGTCACACCAAAAGCCAACTTCATCCTCCTCTTCCTTCTCCACACTTTCTAACCTGCACATCTCTATTGCCTTCCAAATATTGTTTACATTTCATTTTCTGTGTCTCTCAGCTACAGCATAAGATCTGTGACCTGTGAATGCAGCAATAGGGTCTCCTGTGTTATTGAGGTAGTCCAAGTCTCTGCAATAATGCCTGAAATTTAGTAGATACACAATAGAGTTCTATTTTTTAAATTGGAATTTGACATTTATTCTTACAAATTTTTTTTCTGTTAAGTTCTAGCAATGATTCAAGTCTGTGAAGGGCGTTTAATTTTTTGATCTTCTCACCCAACATAAAATAATTGTAGCTATTTTGGTTAACTTGGATATTTATAAAGAATGCTTCAACAAAATTTGCTGCTAAGATTCTGTTTTATACAGTTAAGGCCAATTAAAGAGCTGTGGAACATGCCCCATTAATCAAGATGTCACTGATTTTATAAGCATTTTTGCAAATATTCCATTAAAATGATGACACATTAAAAACTGGTGCAATCTACACTTCTTTAAATTGTCCTTAAATTACTTCGAAAAAATCTGTTAACCGCATGTTTGAACTCAACATACATCTTGTCTAAATATTAACTTCATTTTACTAGTTTCATGATAGCATATTTTTGTAAATGAGTTCAGTTTGAGAAAAGTGATACATAGTGACTTCTAAAAATTATTTTCTAAGAACTCACAAATTGTGGATTTTTTAAAAAAGGAAAACTTTTGGTGTATAGTAAACAGAACCCATTTTTCCATGTACTTTAACCATTGGGGGATCTTTTGTGTCAAATGTTATTCTGGGCTTCCTTACGTTCTCCTCCTGTTCTCAATTTTTTCTTTCCCCCCCCGCCCCCTTTTTTTTCTTTTCTGATCAGTGAAGGTTTTAGAGTCATATTTGCATGTTCTTTTAGAACAATGGTCCTTAAAGTTTAAACTACTTTTAGCAACTAGGTATGTTAGTTTCCTGCAATATGGTCTAAAAGAGTAGCAAACACTGTATATTAAGAGTAAAACTGCCTGGTTTTGCATGTTTGTGTCCCTGCTTAATGGTCCTGAGATGTGGAAAGCATTGTTTCCAGTCTCTTAGGTGCAACTTCATCTATATAAAGATAGCAAGTGGTATTCATTCCGTGTATCGCTCATGGGTCAACCAGAGCTAATGGATGCAGATGCACAGTAATACATATCATATTAAGGCAAGAACCTATTGTGAACTCTTCAAAGGTAGAGCATTGCATTATTTATTGTCACACTTCCTCAGTAACTCGAAGAGTGTTTTGAAAGTTGATACTCTAAAAATATGTGCTGAGCTAGATTGCATAACATAATGTGGTCAAAAATTCCATTTTTATTATTTAGCTCCTTGATGCAGCACAACAAATTTGAATTATACCTCTACGACAGATAAGTAGTAATAAATCCTTATTGGGCAAATACCAATAAATCCCTGGGTAGCTGAAGCAGAGACGTGAGATGTGGGAGATGAGTAAGGTAACCTCTGTCTTCAGGAACTCATCATTCTTTCTGAGCATTATTGCTTAGAAAACTGGGCAATATTATAATTCTCCAAAAAATATGTCTCTTAATGTTTTAGTATCTC
Organism: Homo sapiens; assembly: GCF_000001405.40. Taxonomy (NCBI): domain Eukaryota; kingdom Metazoa; phylum Chordata; class Mammalia; order Primates; family Hominidae; genus Homo; species Homo sapiens. The sequence goes on from NC_000005.10 coordinate 19,918,097, forward strand.
AGGTGATCTTTCAGGCAAAGTGAATTTTATGCACTGATCAACACTTATGTACATCGTGTGCCACAAATATACTCTGTCAAATTATGTCAACATCAGCCTTCATCTCTGACTTTAAATAGGATAACTTTGAAAAATGAAGAACTTCCAACATGACAACAATTTGACTGTCACAAGTTAGTACACTTCAAGATAATGTGAACACACATTTATCTTAAAAAATGGATTAGCATTTTACTGACTGAATTTAATTGCACTCCATCATCAGACTTAATTATTTTATATATAAGAAATTATGCTTCAAAACTTATCATACATAGAACCTTTGGAAAAATCCAGGGAACATAAAACACGCCACAACAATTTCTCTGCAAATGAATAAACATAATTCATCATGACATCATGACATGTGCTAAGGTCACATTGTAATATTTTAAGATCCATGGACATATTAATGCAGAAATCACATTTGTTCACTGGTACATTCATAGTGGCACTATGTCCTTCAACAAAAATGAACCGCAATAATTCTAGTAGATAATGGATAAACAAATGCTATGAGAGGTGTATTTTGTAGCTACTTTATTAAAATTCCATTTTGAAAAAATGGAAAGAGATCTCAAAAGCATGAAATAAGTTGTGATATTTTGATATAATAATAAATACATATTTAGTCATCATTCCTGGTTTCTGACACACTTTCCTTCTAAAACTCTTGGAATTTCACCTCTGAATGACAGAGGTGATAAGCGTGTCTTTTATAATTTATAAGAAACCTCTTTCATGCACATCCCAGTTTATGCTAATGAGATGTCTGGTGGGTAAAAACCCAGAGATAGCTTTAGATTGAGGACTGGTTGCCAGAGGAACCAAACATATGACCAGAAGATTAGAACGTTCAGCCCCACCCAGACTGGAAATGGTTGAGTGACTGGAGATTGAGTAAATCACTAATGGCTAGTGATTTAATCAACTCTGACTATGTAACAGAAACCCCATAGAAAACCCTAACTGAAAGGGTTCAGAGAGATTCCAGGTTGGTGAATGCATTAACGTGCCAGAAGGGAGCTGCACCCCCACTACACAGACTCACAAGCGTCTGTGCACAGAACCCAGCCAGGCCTGCCCTGTGTCCCTCTTCATCTGGCTGTTCATTTGTATCATCTATGATATTATAATCCTTATTATATGTATAATACATAGGTCAACATCAATTAAATATTTCTTTGAGCTCTGTGAATGGTTATAGCAAATTATTGAGCTTGAGGAATAGGTTGTAGGAACTCCCAATTTGCAGCCAAGTTGGACAGCTGAATACCCACTACTTGTGACAGGTATCTGAAGTTTAGAGCAGTTTTGTGGACTAAGCCCATAACCTGTGGGATCTGTGCTAACGTCGGGTAGCTACTATCAGAATCAAATTAAATTGTGGAACATCCAGTTGATGTTTGCAAAGGATTGGAGAATTGCTTGATGTGGAAAACCTACACATTTGATATCAGAAATATTGTAACTTGAAATAAATTATAAGGGTAGTAGATATGGAATTTGTCTTTCTAGTAGAGGACCACTTATACTATTTAATATTTTACAGATATCAACTTATTTGATGGAAGAAATAACAGTCATTTCTACTTTGAATATGTGATGAAATTTCAATTCACTGTGAGCAAACAAATAATGGTGATAATATAATAATAAAGAGAAAGGGATTATTATATAGTGTGGACATACAGTTGGCTTTCTGCTTTAGGGTTTTTCATATACAAATAAAAAAAGTTGAAAGAAGAGGCAGTCCTGCAAAAGACTAACCATATTAAAGTGTCATATCTATGTTAATTATCTTCTCTTTTGTACTATATCTAGATAGTAGTCATTTCTATACTATAAAGGAAGACCAAGGCCTAATAAATTGCAAAATCTATATTAATAGATCACTTTATGGCTCAATTTTTATCTTTCAGAAACATGTTAAAGTAATAGCAGACACAACATTAGGAAGCACTGTTTTTGAATCCCATAATATTTTCAGTACTATAACATTATTTTGTTAAAACCTGGTTAAAATCTTGCTATCTTTGAAATTTCGAAGTTATAATTCATATCTTAGAGAAAATCCTATTTTGACTTTATTATATAATTTAGACATTAGAAATTAATAAGTAAACCAATCACTTAATTTCAGCCATTCTAAATAATCAATAACAGAAACAGATGTTAATTCATTGGAAATAACATAGCAACAAGTAGGACTTGAAAACTGGATATGAACAGACAACAGTTTTGGCCCAAGCTATGCAGTAAGGTCATTGCTGTCACTACCATCAATTCCTTTAGAATCACCAATTATCCGATTTGCATTCCTACAAAAGGATGTTTATTAAATGACACAGATTAGACACGACATTTAACCTTACTTTTTTTTTTTTTTTTTTTTTCAGACGGTGTCTTGCCCTGTCGCCTAGTCTGGAGTACAATGGCACGATCTCGGCTCACTGCAACCTCTGCCTCCTGGTTTCAAACGATTCTCCTGCCTCATCCTCCTGAGTAGCTGGGATTACAGATGCCCGCCATCATGCCCAGCTAATTTTTGTATTTTTAGTAGAGACGGGGTTTCACCATGTTGGCCAGTCTGGTCTCGAGCTCCTGACTCCATGATCCACCCGCCTCGGTCTCCCAAAGTGCTGGGATTACAGGCGTAAGCCACCGTGCCCGGCCCCATTTAACCTTACTTTTCTCATCTCTGAAATTTAGGGGTAGAGGACAAACTAAGCATTATATATATGTATACCCACAAGAGCACACACACACACACACACACACACACATCACCACAGGGGGATAGAGTACATGATAAAAATATCATTTCCAAGCAATGAGGGAAAGATGAGTCATTTAAAAAATAGTATTGTGATACTTGGTTAGTCATGTACAAAAAAATAAAATTAGATTACTACCTCAACCATGATATGAAAATAAATTCTGGAAAGACCAAAAAGCTAGACACAAAAAAATGCACTTGAGGAAACAATAGAACAAACTTTTTGTCCCTTAAAGTCAGAAAAAAATTGTAATTATGAACTGGATGTGACAAATTAAAGATTGATAAATCTGATTATATACATTTCAAAAAATTCCGTTAAAAACAACAAAACAGGCCGGGCATAGTGGCTCACACCTGTAATCCCAGCACTTTGGGAGGCCAAGGCGGGCGGATCACGAGGTCAGGAGATTGCGACTATCCTGGCTAACACAGTGAAACCCTGTCTCTACTAAAAATACAAATAATTAGCCAGGAGTGGTGGCGGGCACCTGTAGTCCCAGCTACTCGGGAGGCTGAGACAGGAGAATGGTGTGAACCCGGGAGGCAGAGCTTGCAGTGAGCCGAGATCGCTCCACTGCACTCTAGCCTGGGCAACATAGCGAGACTCCGTCTCAAAAAAAAAAAAAAAGCCAAAATTAAAGACATAATGGAGAAATATCTGTAATTCGTATCAAAGTCAATTGTTAATTATATTAAAAACTATAAATCCTGTAAAAACGAGGAAAACTTCAAATCTCAATATAAAAATGAGACAAGTATATGAGATTTTACCAATAAAGAAACAAAGTCTTAAAAAGGGATATGCAACATCAGTCATAAGTAGAAAAGTTCAAAATTAGCATATTTTTCACTTGATAAATTAGTAAAGATAATTTTTAAAATTATGTTGATAATCAAGTATGAAGAGAGAAATTCTCATAATTCTCCAGTTTTAATTTCTAATACAATAAATATCACTAGATACAACCCATATAACCAAAGGCTAACTCGATGATTTTTTTTTTTAAGTATAAAGGATTCTAAATCGAAAACCTTTGAAAACCTCTGGCCTAGAGGGTAGGTCTGTCACACGTCTCTTTGGTTTTACTAATGGAGAAAGTTAATACCAACATCAGATCATTTCTGAGAATGTGAAGGTGGAGGGGTTGGAAGATGGAAAGCATTGCTGAATTAACAGTTTCATGAATGAATGATTTTTCTCAGTCAGTTGTCAAAATGAATCTCAGTTTGTAAGGAGACTGAATTTTTTCATTTGAGCAATTAATCCAATCCCTCTAATATAAAATAAACTGCTAGTGATAATAATTTAATAGAAGGGTTTAAACTAAACCATTTCTTGTGTTATGCATGTTTCTGCTTTAGCTAGGTGAACTGAAGCAATATTAATATTTTAATCCATCAGGTTGTGAAATGGTTAAATTAGCTTGAAATTACTACAAAATGGTGCTTTTGAAAACATGATCAAAATGTTCACAAATGTTAAATATAGGAGCATGAAACTTATTTCACCCAAAGAATTTTGTGGATATTACAAGAGATCAAGCCTGTCATATAAGCATCAAATGCTATCATGCAGCTTAATATTATATCTTTGATCCTGTCAGATTTATATTTTTGACATGAAAATCAACCCAAACCTCCTTTCTCTATCTGCTGTTAACAAGATCTTTGTTGGCTTGTGACAGAAAAAGTGTAAAATCACTGAGCTGCTATGTACTTGGGTGAATTTACTTTTAATCTTTTTTCTATACCGGGAAATTGTTCTTTCATCCCTGGACATTCGTTTAAACTCTCTGTGTTTAATTTTACTAACCTTTGAGACATTTATTTTTCCATTATTCTACTGGAGAACACATGAATAATTATTGAAGAATAAAAGAATTGAACAAGAAAAATCATACATCTTCTTCTTGGTAGCATACTCAAGACGCTCCTGCATTTCAAGCTATTTTTGGAGGAAGGGAAGGAAATTGACTTACCTGAAAACAAATTATATATTCGTTTAATATCTCCTCTCAAATATCCTTTTTAAAAATTTAGATTCAATGGCATTTTTAATTTGAAGTATGTGACCATCCTCTAATGATAAAGTGACGTCTCTGTACCATCTATTTCTATCCGGTCAGACCTATGATTTCTTCGAGCAATAGGGTACATTATAAGTGACACTGTGTCTTTGAGTCCTGAGACATAATGTAAACCCTACTGCTGTCATATTGTAAGGATGCCCAAGACACATGAGGCTCTTTAACTGACAGGCACATCTAAGCCCAGTTTTCAAACTATCTCAGCCCCAAGCCTAGATATGTGAATGATGAAGCCTCCAGATGATTTCAGCAGCCAACCAATTAGACAACCCTGAGACTTTTACATTTTTTCCTTATAAGGCTCCAGAAAACATGAAACAGAGACAAGTTATCCTCTCTGAGCCCTGTCTGATTTCTTGATCCACAGAAACTTTTAAGCATAAAAATAAAAGTTGTTGCTTGATACCGGTAAGTATGGAGTGGTTTGTTACACATCAATAGACATCTAGAAGAGATCATTTCCACTAACTATCTTTGTCATTTACCTACAGATTTAATTTGCTTTTCCATTCTTAGTGCACCTCCAATTTCACATGTGTAGCAGAAAAAATGCAAAGAATATGATTCTAGACTCTGGCATCTAATTAAAATATAAGAATACATCCTTATGGAGTAGTCATGGAGAAGCTGAACAGGCTCTCCTCCTTATATTTCTTATAATCATATCTCTAACTCAGAACAAACAACTGAGCTAAATAATATGTAAACAGACAGTGTGGTTATTTGTAAAGCCCTAAATATTGTGCTCAAAGCCTTTTAAAAATCTGCAGCCAAACTTAAAGGATTTCGTATTATATCAAAATATACTCTTCTCAAAAAGATAGCTTGTGGAAGATTCACATTTAGGCTGCAGAAATTCTGACAACTGCCTAAAGCTGTTGTTCACCTCTTGTGGAAAAGTGGCTGCAGATCAAGTGCCACCCCATCCCCCGGTGAGATGTGGCAATCAGAGGAGCTGTACTGTGTACTGAAAAGGCAAGAAGAGTGTGTGTTTCAGTGAAACTATGAGACCGGTACTTTCTTGGAAGCATTGTCATAGCTGGCTTACATTTTATTGCATGGAATATAACCCATACAATGAGTAAAGCTATAAATATCATAGTTTTCAACTATGAATTTATCATAAACACATTATTAAACAAAAACTATACTCAGTTGAAAAGGGCAACAATCAGGGGAGAGGTAAGCTTTGAGAGTCATGCTCCTTTGGCACAGAAATCCTGTCTCTAAATCAACAATGCAGCATGCAGTCTGTCCTCTCCTCTCCTCCTCAGTGCCACTCTCTATTTTTTTAAGATATCTTTTTGCATTACTTTTTATTTTTCTTTAGCTTTTTAAAAATAGGACTTTGGCCAGTTGTGGTGGCTCACGCCTATAATCCCAGCACTTTGGGAGGCTGAGGAGGGCAGATCACCTGAGGTCAGGAGATCAAGATCAGCCTGGTCAACGTGGCAAAACCCCATCTCTGGAGTTTAGCTCGGAGTGGTGGCAGGCGCCTATAATCCCAGCTACTCCAGAGGATGAGGTGGGAGGATCACTTGAGCCTGGGAGACGGTGATTGCAGTGAGCCCAGATCGCAGCACTGCACTCCAGCCTGGGCGAAAGAGCAAGACTCTGTCTCAAAACTAACAAACAAACAAACAAACAAAACAATAGGACTTTAAATTTTGACTAATAGGACATTAGGAATCATTTCATACAAGGTAAAACACCAGTGAATTCTATGAAGTAGACAGGTCATGTGAATGGTGGCACCTGGCTGAGTATAAGAACACAGAGCAGAGAGTGACCAAGGAGAAGTGTGGAGCCCAGGAAGCATCCACAGCGTGCAAATAGATCAACTCTTTAGGTGGAATTAAGCTTCAACATCCTGTGCCCTCTTCTCTATTTGACAAAGTGGCATTTAAAATACAATTGACCCTTGAACAAGGCAGGGATTGGGGTACCGATGCTAAGCCATCAAATTTCCACATATAACTTTGCAACCCCCAGAAACTTAGCAACTGACAGTCTACTGTGAACCAGTAGCATAAACAGTCAGAGAAGACCTATTTTGTATGTTATATGGAATATATACTGTATTCTTGCAATAAAGCTAGCTAAGAAAAATGTTAAGAAAATCATAAGGAAGACACAGGTACAGTACTTTCCTGCATTTATCGATAAGGTAAGTTTACATCACCCATTTACAAGATGAGTCTTCCTGAAGAGGAGGGCACCCACAGCAGCAGACCTCAAGCTACAGTATGTATAAAGCAATTCATATAAGATTTTATTGTAATGTGAGTGCTTTGTTTCCGGAAGTACTTCCAGGATCATTAGTGGCACTCCCTGTGGGTCTTCTGGTGTTATTCAAGGTTTATGGTATTGCAGTAAAAATGATGAAAAATATGCAAGAACGCAAGACATCACTTTTTACTGTGATCCGCAATTTATTGGGGAGACGAACTCATCACATGGGGATGATTAGCATCGCACTGCATTTTTCTTTTTTTTTCCTTTTTGAGACAGAGTCTTGCTGTCACCCTGGCTGGAGTGCAGTGGCATGATCTCGGCTCACTGCAACCTCTGCCTCCTGGGTTCAAGCGATTCTCTGCCTCAGCCTCCCAAGTAGCTGGGATCACAGGTGCCTGCCACCACGCATGGTTAATTTTTGTATGTTTAGTAGAGACAAAGGTTCACCATCTTGGCCAAGCTGGTCTTGAACTCCTGACCTTTTGATCCACCCACCTCAGCCTCCCATTACACTGTATTTTAAGTGGATACTCACGACAATTGAGCTCACTGAAATAAGCCACAGGAAGTGGCTCTGAAATTACTACAGTAGTATGGTATGTACTATCATTTCTTTTATGCAGTTCTGATTTAATTCTGTATCTTTACATTTGTTGATTCAACTGGGAATGGCACCAGGTATGGTCTATGTGTGCATAAGTTTTGATAAATTTTAAGTTTTATAATAGATTCGTGTTTATTTTATAGTAGCGAATAATAAAATGGAATAGTATCAACTTTTTTTTATTCATGACATATCAACTTTAAAAATATTTTTACGGTACTTCTAAGCTACGTGGTTCACCTGCAATTTTTTTTCAAATTGTTGCAAATCTCTAAAAATTTGTTCCATGTATTTATTGAAAAAAATTGCATATAAGTTGACCATACCGTTCAAGCCTATGTTGTTAAAGGGTCAACTGTGTATTCACTAAAGTCTGAAGGAGCTTTAGAGGCTTAATAAATCAGTGATTTTAATTTCACTGGTAATATGCTTGAAATACTTTTAAAACTATAAAACAAATAAAATGTCAAATATGTTTTATAACAACTTTTAACACATCAGCAACCATCAATTCATTGTATTATCCAGTTAACCAACTTTTGTACAGACCTCAGGGCAAAGGTGTTTCTATCTGAATTTGCTAAGTGAGTTCTTAAAACAGGGACTACATGTACTTACTTATCTTTGGTAATCAAAATATTCTCAATTTTGTAAAAAGAAAGTGAAACAAAACAAAAGGAGACTGAAGTTAATATAAGGCTAACATTTTGATTTGTAAATTCCAGTATTTAATTTCCATATCAAGCAAAACAGCTTCATCTTTCTAACTAAATAATGTAATATATATTATAGGTAATAAAATTGACTCTCAAGTATGATTTCATTGTTTTGATTTATTTTCCATTAGATAGTTTACAAATGATTTGGTAAGGCATGAAATTTTCTTCTGCTACCCAAATACAAATCAGTGTATCAATTTCCAATTTTGTTTTTTTCTGAAAAGGTATGCCAAGATATTTCACAATTTCATGCCTAGAAATAAAACGTATCTATATATAGATATAAATATGTATATAGATACAAATATATAACTTGTATTTTCAGGATAGAAAAGGTTTGCATAAGGGTATACCTCAATGAAGGAGTCAAATAGTTAAACCATAGTCTAATTAAATTAAACATTCTGTCATTTATAAAGAAAAAATAAGCGTTAAAGAATTGCTACAGAATTGTTTTAGTCAGTTGCCATACTGTTGGCCTTGACAGTGTCGAGAATTTTTACATTAAGTACTTCTTGTTTTATGACTTCTTTTGATTATATTTGTAATAGTAATTCTAGATAACGTTTATTGGGTACTTACAATATAGTCAATAACTTTGAAGGGTTTGAGATTTTATCCTGCTTGTATGCTATGCTAACCTGCTCATAAAGTGTTAGAAATGGTGGCACAAGACAGGAGATGACATTCAGAGAGTAAGGACATCATTACTCAGGACACAGCAGGCGGCATGAGCTTCTTACATGTTTGGGTGAGAATATATTAACTCATTTCATTCTCACAATACTCTATGAGGTAGTTTTGACTCTTGCCCTCACTTAAAAGATGAGGTTACGCAACCTGCCAAATTCAAAAAGCTTCAAAGCATCAGAAATTGATCTCAAAAGTCTCCAACTCCAGATACTGAATTCTTAATGACCACACTGTACTGACTTTTTAAATGTATATAGACAGTACCTTAATAATAGTAACATATTTCCTTTAATAAAGATGTATGATTCTGAAATAAAGTATGAAAGCACATATATATAAATTATTATGATGTATATTATTTTAGCAAAATGATATTTTTATGAATGTTACTGCAGGTCAGCTATTTTCTAATGCAGACATGTAATTTTTTGGAGATTATGTATAAAAATATTTCATTTCTTAAAGAAAAAAGTTATCAATCTAATATGTGTCAGAAAAAACCTGAGAAATGTGGTCTTAGTTTATTCCCAGAATACCAAACAACCAATATGATGTTATATTTATTCATTTAGGGAGCTTGCAAGTAAATTGTACTCTCTGTTCTGACAGACCCTTGAGATGGCATAAGCCTTTTCCAAATTTTGCTTCATTGTGATTCTGAGTCTTTAAATAGAGAATTTGGCTGCTAAGCCTACAAGAGATTCCATGTCTATTAAATCCATCCTATCTTGTTGTGTTTATTTGAGGTAATCTATTAGTTTACACAACTTGCTCTTTGGTCATGCAGAGCTCTGAAAAACACAGCCTGCCAGGGCTCCGTCCTGATTCATTGTCATGGAGAAGCTCAAACAAGAACCAGACACTGTGAGGACAAAAGATCCCTCAAATTACCTGCAGAGAGTCGCCCTGGCTTTCAATGGCTGCAGTCCAAAGACACTTAGACCAAATTAAATTGTGCCAAAACATTTAAAAGCAATATTATTAAAACAGAATTCTTCTCAATATGCTGCTCAGCCACATGTTATTTGTATTTTCGGTACTAAAAACTACTGACATAAATGAATTAATGTTTGCAAACACTTAAAAGAAGGCCCGGCACACAGAAAGCATTATACAAAAACTATGAGACTTTGCTAAACAAAATAAAAGATGGGAATTCTACGCATGGTCAAGATGACTTACTTTTGTATCTGATTTAGAAGTCACCAAATATGTATAAATTTCACTTGGAAGAAATAAATGATCATCCTGAAAGTTCTATCAGTACATGGAACGTAGCATGTATATCCATACATGCTACACAATACAGGAATGTAACATACATATCCATACAGGATACACAATACTCCTGTGTGAGCTTGAGAATGTGTTAAAAGAAAGAAATGAACAATGGGCTAAGAGTAGCAAAAGAGATCAGAACACTGGGAGGATTGGCAGGAATGAACCTGGGAAGAAAACAGCCCAGAGTGTGTACTGCCGCAAATCATCAGCTGAACTTAAACCTTGGCACTCAGGATCTCTGAATAAATGCATTGGCTGCACAGTGGGGCTCAGGCACTGCTAAGCTCTTCACATATGTTATCTTATTTAGTCCCTACAACAGTCTTATAGATGATGACTAGCAATATCCCATTTTACAGATGAAGAAATTTAGTCAGAGGCATTCCTGGAGACTGGGTTGAAAGAGACCTAAATCATTTTTATTTTATTGTTTTTCAGATTTTGGCCACACATACACATCGTTTTCATCCTTAATTACATCATGGGAGTGAAGCTTCCATAATATTCCTTGAGAGTTTATAAATACTGTAAACAAAATTTTCTAACTTTTCATAATTAATGAAAGTTTCTAGGACTGCAAAGTACACATGTGTTCATGTTTTATATGATCAATGGAAAAGAAAACTGGCCCTGACTCATCTTCGTGACTAGCAATCTCATGGTTATGAGTCATCACTTCTTCCTCTCCTCAGTATTAGACAACACAAAAGACAGGCCTTTTAATCAAATGACTTAATCACTTAGGTTTAGTTTGGCATCAGACATAGGTATTGATGGCACCTAAATGCTCCATGCTCCATAAGAACAGAAGAGCATTACTATATGCAGAGGACACAGCAAGCATTAGGAAACAGACTGACTCCTCAAGACTGAATCAAACATTTTCTGTGCAAAATTAGTGCAAGAAATCACAAGGAGGAAATACGAAATGTTGAGACGAAGAATAAATATTTAGATGGTATCAGCCCAGAGTAGACAGGAGGCATTACGGACACCTTCAGAGTATTTTCATACCCTTGCAATTGGCTTTGTCAAACAATTTTTAATTTTGATGTACATGTGTTATGCCTCCCTAATAATATACAGAAATCCAGAATTTGGGACTAGTCTGCATGGTATTTAGGATGTGACTTGCAAGGACTTTAAACACAAAAAAAGGCCTCAATACATCAATGCCTTAAATGTTGGTGTGTGAATGTAACCATCTTAAGTTGATTTTTGTAGGCTAGGCTTTACCTCTTATTTGCATTCATTATAGTAAAAGGAATCAGCCCAACTTATTTATATATGTTGAACTTTCATTTTATATTCATAAATGGTCATCATTGGATGACTGTATTTCCAATAATTTACTGAAAATTAAAACACAATGGCTTTCTGCAGCAGGAAAAACGTTGGTTTAGGCTCCTGTAGAGGTTGAAGTAGAAACTAAGAAAAAATAGGTTCAGATGTATAATGACAGTGACAGGGTAAAAGATAAGAATGGCAGCTAACACCCATTGATAAAAGGTTTAGCATAAGTTAGGCAAATATTCAAAGCTCTTTGAAACACTAGTTCATTTAATCTTTAAAGAACCTTAAGGGTCACAGCTTATAATTATCATTCTCAGCATATGGATGAAGAAAACGGAACAAAGGGAGGATAAGTGACATACTAAAGGTCACATACACACATCCCTAATTAGTAACCCTGGGATTCCAACTCAGGGAATCTACTGCCAAAGTATGCATTCTTAATTACTATCAAATATTGCCTCTGGACTGTGTTAAAAAGCTAAATGGAGAGCGAGCAAGGAGAAACATATGTGTACACACTGAAGAAGCAGAGTTAGAACATAGGGCTAAAGAAAAAGGTGAAAAGAGAAGAAAAATGACTTGGAGATGGAAATAACCATTATTAAAATGAAAATTAAAAACAAATCTCTCTCATATTATGGAAGTGTGAAAAACAACAGAGAAGGCTCTCCTATATTTTCCACAGTAGCATTTTGTGTTCTACAATCATATCAATCAAGGAGGAAATATTGATCATGTGGTTACCATGGGAGAGGCTCCGCAAAGCTCCGGGGGACACTTGTACGTGAGAAGATAAATAAAAGGGTAAGGTAGCAAGTGTAGAGTTCAGAGCAGCTCAATAGCAAGAGGCCTAGTGTGCTGTCAAGGAAACAGCTGGCTGAAAACGAATCATAAACTCTATCTCTAAGCTTATGAAACTGCCCTTGCTTGTAGTGCATAAGATCCGTAATATATTTAAAGATGATCATGTCTTCATTTACAAAGGAAGACAAATTAAAAAATCAAGAAACAGTCAAACTAAATAAACCAAAGTCTTAAGATGTTTCTGCAGCTTAATAACAGAAACTCAGTTCGAAACACAGAATTAAGAATTATAAGTCCTTATAAACTTAAGAATGGAAGTGTGATCAAGACTCTCAGTTGCTACATCTTGGCAGATATGATTTAGATATATGTTACATGGGTTGGTTCACGATGTACTCAAATATTGAAATACTTAAGTAGACAAATAGTATTAGTCAAACAATGCCAGTGAGCTCACATGAGGTATAGCATTTAAAAAAATTACATCACTAATTTTGTCACATTTAAGAATTATTTAAGAATATCATAACCCTTCATATTATCTACTTGATTAATAAAATTATTCCTTTTAGTTCAAATACAAGATTCTTCAATGGCAATTTTATGTCTCCTCAATCTAATCTGAGTTGTGATTTCATCTGTCAAAATAGTGTCAACTTAGTTAACATGCTAACACATATCTACAGCTAATTTTTTTCTGTCTTACAGTTCCTAAATGAAATAAAAGTCATTTCTGACTCCAACAATGAAATTTTATTTTCCTTTGAAGTGAACATGCATTAAAACATTTGGAATAAATATTTTCCCTGTAATGTGGTTAAAATTGAGCCCTAAATATTTAGGGCCATTGCTGTTACTACCTAATAAAAATTTTTCTGCTATAAATACAAGTACTGATTCCTTTAACTTCTCAGAGACACAGCATTTCAAAGTAGAAAGTCTAAAAACTGTTGGTGGTGTCTGGTTAGAGATCAGATACAAAAGCTATATTATTAATATTTGTTTATTGGGCAAATGCATGAGAAGTGAAAAAAAACTTTTCATATATAGAAATGGGAAAATGCAACAACTAATATTTTCCTTTGTTTAACACAGAATGAAATATAAGACTTGCTCCAAATTTCTTTCTCTTTCCCCAAGTCCTTTATATATCTCTCTGCTTTATATTAACTCCTATATCCATCTCTCCCTGTGCTTAGGTACCTGTTTAACTGGCTTTTTGAGTGTTCATCTCTCTATATACACATCTAAATTTCCCTGCCGTTTAAGTTTCATTTTCCCCTTTTCCTCCCATTGTTCCCTCTATCCTATGCCACCTCTCTTTATCTTTAAGCAAAGATCACTCCAACTCCTCACTCTGTTCTCTTCACTCAATCTTTCACTCCACTAAAGTACATTTTTTATAAGAAGTTAAATTTATTGAAAGAACATGTATGAACTAAAAGAAAAAGTTGAATACACCACTTTCCAAACCAATGAGAATGAACTGTAGATTCCATATGTGGCATATGGGATATCTTATAGTTCTCTGAGAACTATAAGACACGTTGGCACTTGGAGGATGAGAAAACAATAAACACACAAGCCCACACTACTGGAATGCACAAAGCTTTTCACAGAAATGTATCAACATGGGAAAGGATGTTTTATACTCATGTGCAGAATATTTTGCAGAGAATCTAAACTTATTAAAGTACGCGTGTTATTTAGCTCCTTTTTAAAAAACAATCTCACTCAGATATTCTCTACAACAATCCCATCAAAAATCTATGTAGATGCCCCTCCTAACATGCTGGGTTTCTCAATGTCTTTACTTCCTCTTCATCAAAGATAGCTGTCTATCCCCTATCTCATTCCCTCTCTGCAACAGTACAATGGTCATCCACTAGGCCTTGTCTTAACAATAATTACAATCCGCCCCTCTCCCCACAATACACACACCTTGAATTTACAAGCATCACCTTTTCCCCACCTTCTCCAATCTTTGCAGTTCATTCACTTTGTTATACTAATTTTTAACAAATCTTTATCTGTCCCTGACCCAATAGTCCAATGATCCTACTACCTTTTCATAGTACTTAATATCCATCCTGTCTGCCTTTTTTTCTTCATCCCATGCCTAATTATTAAAAATATTCCCTTGCATACATGCTCAAACCACTTGTCTAATTAGCTCTTTACATACCTAGATATACCATTAGACTAAATTGTGACACTGATAAAGTGCAACTCTGTCTACTCCATGTATCTGTACATACAACTGAAAATGACTGAAAAAGAATCCACATAGTAATTTTTACTTGTTTCTTATTAAATATATGGCCCTTAACATAGGCTTCTAATACTGTATTACATACAGTAATAGGTAATAATAATACCTAATACCTTATAGGTATATATACCTAATCATAACTGTAATGCAGGTCTTTATTCAATATCCTTCTCTACTGGCTGGTACTTTTGTCCTTTGAACTATCTTAAACCTTCACCAATTCTCCCCTTTAATCCTTATTCTAGGTTGATGATCATATTTCCCATTTAACCAGGATAAGAAGAGACAACCATAAGTGAAATTTTTATAAGCTTGCTCTACCACATTTGCCCACCTACTTACACCTCCTCTAGTATTATCTGCCTTTTTCCTCTTTTAAAAATTTACCAGTAGACATATCTGTGCTCTTGTGCAATTTCATGTAATCTATTTGTGCATTAAGTTCCATTTCACTTATATTCTCAAGAAAAGCATCCCATCAATTGCACCCCTTTCCTCATCCATCATTATTTTTCTCCTTTTCTTTACATATTTTTACCAGTATATGAATGTATTCAGTATTGACCTAAATTCTTTCTCCAGCTATTGTCCCAATTTTTGCCTTGAAAGCAAAACTTTTGGAGTTACCTATATTTAGTATCTCAATTTTTCTCTTTTGCACCAATTTTAATCAGTATTTTGCCATCATAACTCCACCTAATGTACTCTTGGCAAGATCAGCAACCTCCATTGTTCAATCCAATAGTTAATTTTTGCTTTCATCCATTATGACCAAATAGGAGGATTCAAATTTCTCCTTACTGTTTTCTTCCTAGTTATTGAAATATTCTGAATTTTCTTCTTACTTTCTGGCACATTTTAGCGTCCATTTCTGATGCCTCCCTTGATCCTTAAAATGGTGAAAAGGACCATTTTCTAGGGTTCTTTCCTTTTTTGTCATTTAGGAAAGAGATAAAATGTACTCTTGTGGCTTCAAATAACAAACATATAGTATTGACTTGCCAATTTTATCTCTAGTTTGGATCTATCCCTTGAACTAGACTAAAATGTTCAAATTGCAACAATTCATAGCTACTTGGATGTCTAAGAGCATCTTAAATTTTAATATTCTTCATTCCAGTTCCGGTAGTTCCAAAAGATATAAATTCCATGAGAGCCAGGATTATTTTCCCCACTTGTAAATCCTAGTACTTAGGACAACAGGTGGTAAAAATGTGTTATCAAAGAATACAATAAATAAGAGTAGAAAGGAAAGAAGGAAACAAAAGACAGAAAGAGAAAGAGAGAGAGAGAGAAAAGGAAGAAAGGAAATAAAAGAATAAATGAATTATTTTATGAACATTAGATGTGAGAAGGACTTAATGTGCTGGATGATTTCTGTATCCTTCATGGACGTCCAGTGACATAAGTCTGAATTCATATATAACTGTCAATTGCATTTCAGATTTCTGGGTCTAAGCATCCCTCTTTTAGGGATAATGACAACCCAGTGGGCTCTCATTCTACCTTTCCTAAATGTTTCTGTTATATTTATGCACAAGCCTTCCCTTTCTAACAGGTATGGGGAGGTCATTCACACACAGACAGATGGTTCCCTAAAGAATTCTTGCTAACAATGAAGCCTAAAGCAGGCCAGAGGAAATGTTTAAACATGTTTTTTAAAGGCCCACTTTTACTTCCATTTCATAAAACTAAAAAAGAGCTTTTACATGCACTGAGAATATGCACTAGGGGCTCTTTGATTAAATTTGGCTTTGATGTAAAGATACAGGGGTCTTAGTTAACTCCCTCAGCAATGCTATGTGGTCACACTGAGGATTGCCTTTGTTTATAGTTATCATCTTTTTGCAAATGTTTAGACAATGGATTTCATTTTATTAATAACCTTGCACAGAATAATAGAGTCAAAAAACTCTAGATCTATCAAAGTGGCTAGTTATGGTCTTTCATATTTTATTTTATCCTAAGTCCTGATTGCTTTGTTAAAATAAACCCAGATAAAAAGAGGAGAGGAAAACAATTGGATCCATACATCATGTTTATTTAGCATATGTCCTTATGTATAAGGAGGTTTTGAAAAGTTTGTTTTCTTGGCCTATGATTATGTCTCAGTCTTCAAATACCACTTTTAGTTTGGAAGCTGAGAAAGAGGAAGTAAGTTGTTATTTCAGGGGATGTTCTTTCATTGTTAGCTGACTCTTTGTCCGGCACCTCCAGAAGAAAATACCCTCAAAAACTTTAAGGACCCTTACAGTTCATTAGAAATATACCTGTTCATGACCAGCTTCTTACATCTTAAGGCAACTTTACATTTACTTGTCCCAACTTGGAAAGATGAGAATTAACAGGTTTTGATTTGACTACTTTTAGTATGTTTCCCTATATTTTCTATAGACATTCTTAAGTAAGCTAGGCGATTTCAGTTACAGTTCTGTGCCCTATATTGAGGTTTCGGTCACCAACAGACCACTTATATGACAGTGGTCCTATAAGATTTTGCTATTAATACAGTATTTTAATGTACACACTTTTTCTATGTTTTGATACTTCTGGATACACCAATACCATTGTATAGCAATTTCCCATAGAAATTAGTACAGGAACATGCTGTACATGTCTGTAGCCTAGGAGGAATACGCAATACGTTATAGCCTAGGTGTGTAGTAGACTATACCATCTGGGTTTGTTTAAGCACATTCTGTGATGTTAACACAAGGACAAAAAAACACCTAACAACGCATTTCTCAGAATGTATCTTCTTTGTTAAGTGATTCATTATCCCCTTTGTATTTAAAAACTTTTTTTTTTTTTTTACTGTGGAAAATAAAGAATCTTAATGTATTGGTTGTTCATAAGCACTGAGCTAGCTTTTACATACAGTCAGGAACTCTCTCTCTCTCTCTCTCTCTCTCTCTCTCTCACTCTCTCTCTGTCCCAATGTCTTCTCAATGCTCATTTCCAAACTTGTGATTTTTTTTTTTGTTCCTGATGTGTTTCGCTTAATTGTTTAGTCACACCTGTTAGTACTGTTGTTCCAGACTGTATGATTGAAATAGCTGTTATTTTCCCAGTTTCTGTAGATCACATATAGGAAGTTCTGCATAATCATAGTGATGAAAACTCATGTTTAAAAAATCCATATATAATTAGCGTGATACAACACAGCATCTTAACACTGAGGCTTTAAGTTTTAATAATTCTGTTATTCTCAGTAACACTGAAAGTTGCCTGTGCTCTTTCTGTCACACAATTGATTCCAATGTATTTTAAAATGTGTTTTTCTGAGTCATTTGTTGCCTTGTTACTTTTTAAAATTTCCCCTTCGGTATAAAAAGTGCAACAGCCTGTTTTTGTTTTAGCTTAATTTTTCAACAAGAAATGTTTTGAAAGTTAAAGAGCACTTTCTTTTTTAAAAAAATAATTAATTATAAATGATGTTTGTTTCTCTGGCTAAAAATTAGGACAAAATGTTGAGGAAAGCCATGGGAATGTTCAAACAGAAAGTCCTTTAACCTGAACTACTCTGAATTTTATGTTTTTAAACACTGTATACCATGAATTTAAAATTTTTAAAGCAATACAACAATGATTAAAAATAATGTGCTGTATACTTTCACAAAAAGAGCTGTCAAATAGGTACTCTAAGGTTTTCATTATAATTAATAGATACTACAAATATGCCACAATTTTGCTTCTTAGATGTCATGTTTTTCTTTAAAGAAAAAAAATAAAAACTAGAAGCTCTAGTATAACATAAATTTTACATTTTGGGTAAAATGTTGAGATTCTGAATATATTTCTTGAAGTTTTAAACAAAATAGCCCTAAACTTATCTTTAGAACACTCTCCTCTTAAAATATATGTCCAATTCATTTACTTATTTTATGTGAATAGAAATTTCATGTTTCAAGATTTAAAAATAAAATATAGAAACTGACAAATAAGTTAAAAAATAGGTTAGAAATGAATATAGATGTAATAATATTATACATATAGATACAGATACTGCAATTATTGTGATTTTCAGTTTCAAAAAATACTTCTTAGAGTAATAATACCACTGTAATTATAAACATGGCCATATATACTCTTTTCAAGTATTTATGTACACTCATATGTTACTATAAATTAAAAGTTAGAGCAATTTTTTGAAAACCAATGTTATAAATCAGATGACCAATTTTATTAGTTTAAAACATTATAGACATTTGGAAAATTATTATATCCTTCATGTTTACACTGTTGAGGGACAGAAATTTAAGAAACTGAGGTGGGAAGGGTCTTTTGTAACTATATAATTATGGTTACAGAAAAGGGCCAGTTCTGGACACCTATCACTCATTCATTTGATTAGGCAATTATTCTTTCATTCTGTATACTAGTCTCTCTTGAGCACTTGCAATGTAATATGAACTGGCATTCTCAACAAGAAAGTAACAAGGAGGTGTTATGGTGGGGTAGTGAAGATGTGATTTACATATGGCCCTGATGTGTGTGAGGCACAATGGCTGAACAGGATTAAACTGAATACCAATATTGAAAACAGAAACTCTAAGTAATATCTGCAGAAAATAAACAGACATTACAATGGAATTTTTCAATTAGTTTTGATTGCAAATATGTTTTCTATAGCAAACGAATGCACACAAACATATAACCACACATGCACACATATAGACTGACCTGCATACACAGAAACACACAATGTACAATTTCAAAGAAAGTATAACCGAACAATACCTAGCCTCACTATGGGCAGCACACATTTCCTATTCTATTGCATTATATATATGTACATATTTTTTTTCAAAGAGGGCTTGAGAGAAATGAGACTTCCTCTTAGAAATACTACATCCTTGAAGAACAAAAAAATTTCAGCAGTTATATATATAGAGAGAGACATTTTTAGAAATTAAATAAGTATATAATAAAGGGCTAGACTGCCTTTATTGGTGGCTTGTAACATTGAGAAAGGAAATTTTTTTTATTGAATTTCACAAAGACAAGAATCACATTTCAAATTATGTCACTAACCTTGAAAAAATATATTTGCTATATATATATATAGTGTATATAAATAGCAAATAAAATATATTTGCTATATATATAGCATATACATAGCAAATATATATTTATATATTTAAATATATATATTTAAACAATGGATACATAGACTTTTTTTGGGAGATGGTGTTTAAAAATAACTGAATTTAGAGATTTAGAGGGTGTATACTGTGAAGCAGTGGAGTCACTGAAATGTAATGACCATGTTTCATGGAAACTTGTGAAACCTTCCAAGATTGTGGAAAAAGGAAAAGAGAAATTTTAGGGATGAGGGACTCAATGATGCTGGGTTATGGAAAACTTACTCTATTGTCATGGTTAACTTCTGCTCATATCCTTTAGACTTCAGACTTCCTGACTGAAACAACAAGTTTATTTATTTTAATTTTTTTATTATTATTATGACTTCCGATATCCTAGATTGAGCATTTAGCAATGGCAACTTTCAGCAGTTAGACACCTTCTCATAAAATGCACTCCATAACCCAATAAGGTACATACATTTATAATCTCATTTTATAGCTAGAATAATTAAGTAAATATTACCAAAATAAATCACATATGTCATCAGAAATTTCATGAATATGACTTGTTATTCTTCTTATTCATATTTTCTAGTTACCATATTCAATGTCATGGCTAACTTTGACTTTCTACTTCATGCTTTGTTCCTGAAATAACTATCAGGACATAAAGTATATATCTTGGTATTTTTAGATGATGTTGACCAAAAAATGTAGAAAAAATAAACATGCTTGCCTATTATATGCCTTTTAAAGTTATAAAGGTACTCTGTATACAGACATGTTCTCATTTAAAAAAATCACTAGTAGTTCAATAGTTATAAATTTAATTTTTAATGTACTTAAATACATTTGGAGCATTTCTTTGTTTAATTCTAATTTAAACTTTAAAATAAGTTTATAGACAAAGAAATGTTCCAAATGTATTTAATATAAATTCAATTTTTAATGTACTTAAATACATTTGGACCATTTTTTTGTTTAATCTTAATTTAAACTTCTAAGAAGTTCATAAACAAAGAGATGCTCCAAATGTATTTAATTACATTAAAAACTGAATTTATATACCAAGAAAGGTAATTAATATTTAGAGGATAGAACTAATACTTTCAGATATAATATGTTATTTAAGTGTCCTTTCATAAATGAAAAATCTTTTTTGTTAATTTTACCAATGAGGATCAAAACACTTTGTCAGTAAATTTTATTTGAAATGAATTATTCAACAACAGTTAATAATTATACTTTTTCTTTTTCTTTTCTACTTTAAATCTAGCAGTAGTCTATAGCAAATATATTTTTTGAAGGTTAATGGCATAATTTTAAATGTGATTCTTGTCTTTGTGAAATTCAATAAAAAAAATTTCCTTTCTCAATGTTACAAGCAACCAAATAAAGGCAGTCTAGCCTTTTATTATATACTTATTTAATTTCTAAAAATGTCTATTTTTGAAATTATAATCCAGGTTTATTTAGCTTTAAAGCTGATTTCACCACTGCATCACTGATTAAAAAGTGTCTAATTTTTTATTGTACTTAAGTAGATTGAAAGTGCTGACAATTTTTGATACAATTTTCTGTCTTAATTATATTTGCAACTCCGTGTTCACTAATCATGAATTAAAGCATACTGCTGGAAAATATTTTGTCTTTTATAGAGTAATTAGACTCAAGATATTTTCTTTCCATTCTTGAAACAGAATGAAATTTATATAATGTAAAGCAAAGCTTTCATCTTGTGGTATGGAATGATGTATACTGGTGATCATTTCGATTTGTTAAATTGAGAACTCAATAATAGTTCATAATACCATAAAATTTTCATCAGTTTTTGGACTGGAAAGACTCATCAATTTAAAGGAGACTTTACTTAATTTAAATGCTTTATATATTTGTGAGGTAATAGATAAGAATCCATAGGCTTCCAAAATTTGGGAATTCTTTCTTCTTTTATGTGACTTACTCTAGTTGTACAAGCAAAAATGCATAGTTCCTATTTTAACAAGTTTTTAGTGATTGTGCAAGAAAAGCTGAATGTTTTCAATATTTGCATCTACATGCATCAACCTGTCACTTTTTTCTTACTTATGTATATAGAGACCAGTACTTTTCTTTTAACTTTATTTTTATACCTCAAAAAAGAAAGCCTCATAACAGAGGCTTAGCATATTTAACTTTTTGAAGATAAAATCCACTATTCATCTGATTACTGAGAATATTAAAGATAAAGTAAATATTTATAGTATTTATAGTAATAATAATATATATTTTCCACCAAGTCAATAGGTTCTAAATATTGTAAAAATATAGCTTACATGTGACCCTATCTCCTCTACAATCTTCCTAATTTAAAGCAGAAGCTTCTCTGTCCTAACTCATTGCACTCTTCTCTTAACTGATCTTCAATTTTCAGATATTGCCTCCAGCTCATTCTCCACACATCAGCCAGACTGCTATTTCAAAAATGTGTATCGAAGAGACCTACACTTAGGAAAAAAATCCAAATTTACTATTTGGCTTATGTAGCTCTGTATAAATCATTTCCTGCATAAATCATCATTTGTGTCTTATTCACACAATTTTTTTTCAGTACCTACCACTGACCAAGAAGACCTTTGTTGAAATTTTCACTTACTGGCCTTTGTGGATCTAGAGATTATTTTTTTCCTAGTTCCTTCTCAGTTTTCATGGTTCCTGTCAATGTCATCTCCTCAGAGAAGGGTCCTCTAATCACCCCGATTAAGATAGAGCCCTTCCTCTAGTGTCTTTTCTCCAAGTACTAGTTTATTTTCTTCATAGCACTTACCACCAACAACAATAGCAACAAAAAGTCTCCAATTATTCTGTATTGTTTGCATATTTTTTCCCCAAGTAGAATTCAAGATACAGAATGGAACTATATTTTCCTTGTTTAGTTCTATAGTTTTAATGCCTAATAAAAGTTCCAGTCTATTATTTAAAAAATAGTATCCCCATCCTAAAGGGGGAGGGTGAAAGAAAAGTTCAGAGAGAGTAAAGTCTTTAAACTAAATGTTTGTGTTTCTCCACGATTCTGTGTTGAAACCTAATCCCCAATATGATAGTATTTGGAGGTAGGACCTCTGGGAGGTGATTAGGCATGAGGGTGGAGTCCTCATCAATAGGATTAGTGCTCTTATAAAGAGACTCCAGAAAGCTGCCTTGCCCCTTGCACCATGCGAGGAAAGAGTGAGAAGTCTATAATCCAGGAAAAGGGTGTTCACTAGACATGGAATCTGCTGACATCATGACCTTAAACTCCTCAGCCTCTAAAACTGTGAGAAATGAATTTCTGTGTTCGTAAGCCACTCAGTTCCTGGTATTCTGTCATAACAGCACAAATGGAATAAGATAACTAATTTGTTAAAATGCACATAGCACATGTTTGGTTGAGACGGGACTGAGTAGAAGTAGTCCAACTTTACTGCCAGTGAGGTGAACATGTACTCTGTACTGTTTGCTAATTATGTTTTAAGAACTTCCTTGGGCCAGGTGCCATGGCTCATGTCCGTAATCCCAGAACTTTGGGAGGCCAAGATGGGTAGATCATTTGAGCCTAGGAGTTTGAGAACAACCTAGGCAACATAGCGAGACCCCCATCCCTACAAAAAAGAAAAAAAAGAGTTAACTGGGCATAGTGGCACATACCTGTAGTCTCAGCTACTTGGAAAGCTGAGGCAGGAGGATCACTTGAAACCAGGAGATGAAGGCTGCAATGTGCCGTGATTGTGTCACTGCACACCATCCTGGGTGACAGAGCAAAACCCTGCCTCTCAAAAAAAACAAAAAACAAAAAACAATCCTCATCTACCCTGCCTAACTCCTAAGGTATAAAAAATGTGATTCATTGACAGACATATTTGCCTAAGATCATAAATGAAGCTAGTTGAAAAACTGAGACTAAAGTGAATGTTCCATCTTCTCAATCATGTTCATTTCATTGCACACTACTGTCTCCCTTCAAGTTGACCTTCTGGAGCATTATATGAGCCTAGACATGGCAGATATGTTTAGGTCCAGGTCACAAAGAAGACATAATCAGGAAAGCAGACTTCAAAAAAATAAGACCTAAAGAGCAGATAAATAATGGTTCAGGGTCAAGAAGTATATTAAACCAGGGATCAAGATTATGAAGATCTCTGACAGGGGATGATGTTCCATTCCCAACTAGTATTGAAATATCAGGAGGATACAGACACCCTTTTGGAAGAAGAATTTCAGTGTGGTCATATTCCCTGCACTAAGGCACATATGATTTTCCTTCAATGGATTATCATTCTTTCCTGGAATATGTTAAATTAGCATCAAAGTGCTTAAAGTTTGGCCCTTGCCAATAAGTACAATCTACTTCAGCTGTGAATTGCTGACGGCTGAATGAAGAATGCTACCATTTAGAAGTGTCTCTTTGATTCTCAATTCATATACAAATAAAATATCCTTTTGCTTTTTATCAAGGGAGCGATATTCCTATAAAATATTCAAATTTACCACGGAAAATATGTCCATTCTACAAATCCCTGGAGGGTAACTTTGATCCTTGACTTCTGGTTTTCAATCTGCCATTTTTACTCATGTTTTCCTGAAACAAGTAAGCCCACAGGTTGAGTCCTTCCAAATGAATTCCACAAGCTGATAGATGTCACCCTTCTTATCTAATTTTGACCTATCTCCTTTAAGGCTTTCTGGAGACAGATTAAAGAATGAGGCTTTGGTTTGACATCAGTTCAAAAGATAGAGCAAAGTGTGAGCAGAAAATAGAGGTCAAGGTGGAAGTATGAGGCAAACCTCAGGAGCATAGCCCCTGTCAAGAAATGCCCCGACTCTCAGCAGCAGTCGAGGAAGCAGCTGGTCTGGATTTCTTGTCACTGTTAGGGCTTAATTACTGGCACATAGCAAACACAGGCCTTGGAGATGGGACTGGGTGACCCATGTCGGGGGCTAAGGCTGTCTTCTGATATACTCTCTGCCAGGTGACCCTCGTGCCTCATGACAGCATGATGCCTCTTTGAGCTTAGTTCTATCTAGCTGCAAGTTACTTGTAAAGAGACAGTTTTAGAAACAGTGATCATAATATAATAATTCCCAAAGTGTGTTTACATCATATCATCCCATATTCATCTTCCTGACAAGACTGTGAGGTACCCAGAGGGAAAATGATTGTAATAATCTTTTTGTTGTTGTTGTTTGGGGGGGTAAGAAAAGTAAGAATCAGAGAAGTTAAAGGATTTGACAAGCATATACAGTTGCTGTATGGTGAAGTTAGAATTCAAATGTGGTCTCTTGAATCTAAATGCCATTTTTATTCCACTACACCATATCTATCTAAGTAATTCAGTTCTCAAAGTGAATTGGGAGGAAACATGAAGCTAAATGTAATATTTCAAGGAGATATAGAAGGAATCCAAACATATGAATCCCAAGATAGAGCTCAGATTGTAAATAACCAATCTTGTCAAGATATGAAAGCCATTGCAAGCTCTAAACTGAGATGTGATTTAAATGTCATATTTGAATAACAGTCCTCTGATCCATCATCTGCCATAAATTTTAAGATCTCATTTACAGAAAATAAAAACAAACAAGTTAACCTTTTTTCATACCAACATGTAAAAACTGTATAATATCCTGAGTCTTTTAGAGAGAATTGGGACCAAAGGATTCCAGTCAATGAATAATTAAAAAAACACTCGAATATCCTGACACCTGACCCTTTAGAGTATTATAGTGTTCTATTTGTAATTAAATCTTAACATGAAAAAGATAGCAAAATAAATATTTAAAACCTCCCCTTAAAGAAATATACCCAATGCTGTGCTATTTGGGGAGATCTTATTATTTGATAATTTATAAAAAATAAATTCTAAAAGCAATGAAATATAAGCAGTTTTTTTCTAATAGCTATTTTGTATTACCAAAAATCAGTAGTTACATGTATTCATTGTGACTTCAAATATACCAAATACCAGGAACATAAATACCAGGTTAACTAATTCAACCAATAAGATGAAACAAAATGTTATTCACTTTTAATTTAAAGAGCTAGGTGAATTGAAGAGGTCAGGATGAATGTACCTCCTTGACATCTTCTCCTTTTTCCTTTTCCAATTTAATATATTTCTTCTAATCTCCAGATGATTGTTCGTTTCCCACTACTCCTCTGGTTTAGTAATGGAATTTCCACTAAAACATTTGCTATCAATTTTGTTTTGTTTTTACCTGAAGTTTTAACTGTCTTATATAATTTAATATTATTACATTTTACCAGAAATAGAAACAGCTAAAGTCTACCTATTCCACTTAATTTAACATTGAAGGGAACAAAGAAACTATATATTTAATTGGTAAAACATAAAACTCAGAAAAACCTAAGTCTCTAAAGTGTGTATATAATTTATTAAATGTACTAGATTCACCATTCCTAAAACTAAGTTTTTGATTTGAGTGGTGAATGTTTACTGTGACTGGCTGAGAAGATAGAGATATAAATCTTCAACTCCCTTCAATATTGCACATGCCTGGAGAAATGCATTGTACTTTATGATAGTAGTTTCTGTTTTTGTAGTTCTTTCTGTCCTCTGCCTATTGCACTCAATATCATTGTTGAAAATGAGCTACCTGTCTTATTAATATCAGCATATTAAGCTGGTATGTTTATTGATATGGATACATACATGCTATGTCCATTTCTTCAATATGTATTACACATGCCCAGATGAGATGGTATAGATTCACTTTTTTTGGTAGCTCCCTCTAACTTTAACTACTCAAGAAATGACACAATAGACAGCCATAAAAGGATTCCAAAAGCTGGAAAGACAAATAGTACCAGGCTGGGGACTTCAAGATTCAAGAAACGGGATTGCAGTGGCTTGTCTGGGTTTTCTGTTCATTTACCATTACATTTGAATTGGGCACCAGGGAGGCCTACAACCTCAAATCATCAGCACCAAAATAAAAACAGCCTGCCTCTCTGGCCAAATGACAAAGAACGGAGTAGCCCAATAGACACTAAGTGTGGATCCCCCAATCTCTGCTCCACATTCATGGTGGTGGTAAGGCTGATTATCCTACAGTGGTAAAGCCTGGTATCTTCAAGCCCTCCATCTAGAGGTGTATGGATATCCAGGCCCAATGTCTGCCAGTCCTCTACCAGTGAAAGAGAATTAGCAAGCCCAGCAGCTTCTTCCTACATGCTCCCTTCCACCTCCAGGAGGTAGCTCAGGAAACCTATAGGCAACACAAGCAGGGATCAAGCTGGGGATACAGAAGTGCTAGGAAAATGAAGCAGACAGGCAAAGAGTGCAAGGGATCTGAAAACTACATTGAAATTCTAGCACACAAAAGAAGGCTAGAACCTACACACTAAGCCAAAGAAGGGCAACTGAATGGTGAAATCAATGACTTAAATAAGATCAAAAGTCTGCTAATATTGTATCTAGAAGTCCAGGATTTAATCCAAAACCTGTCATCATAGCAGGGAGGGAGACATCCACAATCTGATGAGAAAGACAATCAACTAACATCAATACTGAGATGAATCAGATTTTAGTATTATTTGACAAATATCTTAAAACAGGCATAATGAAAATGTTTCATCAATCCATTATAAATTCTCAGAAACAGAAGAAGAGATAGAAAATCTCAGAAAAATAACAGTTTTTGGAAAACAAACAAATGGAAATTATAGAACTGAAAAACACAGTAACTACTACAACAAACCATGCTGGATGTCCTTAGAAGTGGTGGAAATGATAGTGCATAGAATCAGTGAAATTTAGAACCAGTCAAAAAAATTTGGTCAACACAGAAAAATAAAAGACTAAAAAACTAACAGACTCAAAAATCATTTTGATTTTTTGGGACAACACAAAAAGATCTAATATTCATGTCATTGGAGTTAGAAAAATAAGGAGAAAGAATATGAAACTGAAAAATTACTCAAAGAAATAATTTGCTGCACGCTCCACCAAATATGTAATACATCAAGAAAGGGAAAGAAGCTCACACAGGATAAAACCAAAAGATACCCACACCAAGACAAATTAGAGTTTAAAAAGTAAAAGGTAAGAATGTGGAAAGAACTCATAAAAGCAAAGAGAAAAATGGTGTCTTACCTAAAGAGAATACCAGTTTGAAAGACAGCAGATATCTAATCTAAAGCCATCGAGGCCTGAAGGAAGTAGCATAATATATTTCAGGTGATTAAATAAAAGAACTGTCAACAGTGAATTCAGTATTCAATGAAACATCCTTCCGGAAGGAAGGGGAAATAAACACATCCTCAGAGCAAGTAAACTAAGATAATTTGCTCTCAGTAGATCTACCATTAAATCATAGCTAAAGGAAGCACTCTAAACAAAAATAATATGTTAATAGAGGAAAGGAAAGAAAAACAATGAGATGTGTAAAAACAGAGATCTATGCAATAGACTGTGTTACTCCTTATGAGTTTTTTAGACCCTATTTCCCTGCTTAATCAAAATGAACATCATCTGATATGGTGCTAAATGAATCCGAAGAAAATACTTGAGAATATTATACTTTAAAAATGGGGAGGATAAAGAAAGAAACTTAACCAAGTTGGAATATGTCACCTGAATATCCAACATGCTCCCAAGCCTAGATGGCTTTAAGAAAATTACCAAACACTTAAAGAAAAGTTAACACAAATTGTATGCAATCTCTTTCAGGAAATAGAAGGGGAAGGAACATTTCCCAACATATTTTATAAGGCCAGTATTGCCTTGATACCAAAACCAGAAAAGGATAGTACAAAGCAAGAAAATAACATACTGATCTGTCTCATAAACTTAAGAGTAAAAATCCTTAACAAAGTATTATGCAATTAATTCAGCAACGTATAAAATTTACATCGGTCAAGTGGGGTTTATTCAAGATATGCAGGCTGGTTAAATATTCAAAAATCAAACCATGTAATCCACCATATCAACAGAATAAAGAAAAAAATTATTTACAATCATATCAATGATACAGAAAAAGCATTCAATAAAATCCCAAAACATTTATTATATAAACTTGTAGAAATTTAGAATTAGACGATACTTCCTATACTACATAAAGCATATATACAAAAACCCTACAGACAACATTGTATTTAATAAAGTAAGACTAAGTTCCTCTTTTATCCTAAGGTCAGGAAAATTGCAAGGATGTTTTCTCTTACAAGTTTTATTCAACATAATACTGGACATTCTAGCTAGGGAAATAAGGTAAGAAAAAAAATTAAAAGCATACACACTGGAAATGACCTAGTATAAGGTTCACACCTTGTATGAAAATTAACCCACAAAAAAATCAAAGGCTCAAATGTAATTATAAAATCACACTTTTATAGGAAAAAAGACATTGAACAAAATCTTCAGGATATATATAGGCATGATCCATAATAGAAAAAAAGAATAAACTTGACTCTTTTGAAAATACAGGCCGAGAGTGGTGGCTTACACCTATAATCTGAAAACTTTGGGAGGCTGAGTTGGGTGGATTGCCTGAGCTCAGGAGTTCGCAATCAGCCTGGGCAATATGGTGAAACTCCATCTCTACTAAAATACAAAAAAAAAAAAAAAAAAAAAAAAAAAAAATAGCCAGGTGTGGCGCCTGCGCCTGCACTCCCAGCTACTTGGGAGGCTGAGGCAGAACAATTGCTTGAACCTGGGAGGTGGAGATTGCAGTGAGCTGTGATGGCGCCACTGCACTCTAGCCTGGGTGACAGAGTGAGAGTCCATCTCAAAAAAAAAAGAAAAAAAGAAAATACAAACTATTGCTTTTCAACAGACTCTGTTAGCAGGCTAAAGAGACAGTGAGAAAATTACAGACAGTGAGAAAATATTTGCAGACCACACATCAAACAAAAGGGTTTTATGTAGAATATATAATAAACTCTCAAATCTCACAGTAAACAAATAAACAAATACATCCAATTAGAAAATGGGCAAAAGAAATAAACAGACCTTTCACTGAAGGCAATATACAGTGAGTACGTAAGCATTGAAGATGTTCAATATCATTAGCTATCGAGGAAGTGTAAATTAAGTCCATAATGCAGTATCACAAACACCATTTAGAATAGCTAATGTAAAAATATGTTGATGAAGACATAGAAAAACTGGATCATTCATGTGTTACTGGTACAAATGTAAAACAAGACATCCACTCCTTAAATTAATCTGTCAGGATTTTTTTAACTTATAAATAGACTTATCGCACAAAGCAGCAATTTTACTCAGGAGTATTTATCCCTGAGAGATGAAAATTTTTGTTATTGTAGAAATCTGTACACAAATGTTTATAATAAGTCAAAAGTTAAATCAAATGTCCTTCAACGGGTGAATGGTTAAACAAACTGAATTATCTATGTGATGGAATACTACTCAACAATAAAAAGAAATGATATGTTGATACACGCAACGACTTGGACAAACCTCGTGGAAACTATATAACATTTTAAAAATAAAATAATCATAGAGATGAAATACATAGGAGCGGTTGCCCTCTGTAAGGGTTTCTGTTTAGTGCAGCACAAGGGAGGCTTGTGCTAGGGCAGTTCTGCATCTTGATTGTAGTTACGTATAGCTACATGGATGACAAAGTTGCATAGAACTATATATACATGCACGCTCACACACACACAAATAAGTGTACAAATAACTTTAGAAATCTGAATAAGCTTCGTAGATTGTACAAGTATGAATTTCATGGCATACTATATTTATGCAAGATGTTATTGTGGGAGAAAGAATGGAGAGTATATGGGATCTCCCTGTACTTTTGTCCAACTTTCTGTGGATATCTAATTATTTCAAAATAAAAGGGTGAAGAAAATATATTAAATGTGCCCAGAGTTTGCTCAAGAACTCAAGCAAGTTAAGGAAAGCTAGTGTATTAGGAAAAATGTAATTATACTGAAGTAGCCAAGACTGCTTTTTTTCACAATGCCTAACTCTAAACAATAGATCAACTTAAGCATACATTTTCAAACATGATTGAAAGCTTCACCTGCTTTGTAATCATAAGACAGTAACGAATAAAAGTAAGCACAGCTACACATGTGGAATCAAATATTTCATTAGCCATAGCCATCACACTATATTTTCTCAGGATGTTTCTTCTCTGGGCGCAGAAAAATAACATTAAGTCTATTCTCAATGTCTCCCAAAAGACTCCGAAATGGGTTTTGCTTGATCTGGTACTTAGATCTCAGTGGTGTATTCAGAATAAAGAAAACAAGTTTTGAGATATGTGTATTTTTTCTTTTCAAGGTTTTATAACAGAAACCCATCTAGGTATAAGACAGATTAGGGTTCACTGTCACTTCCCTGCCTCTGGACATAATATTTCATGTAGAGGCAGAAACAAATAATATTTCTCTCCTATTTTAAAAAGCTTAACAATATATAAAGCAGACTGTGCCCTCACAGCTCAGTCTTGTCCATTTCAAAACCAAATATAAGTTTTGGACTGGAACAATATGCCCCCAAATTTCTAAAAAGAATGTAAGCAAGACAACTTAGTATTATCAACTTTTGAGAATGTCAGTCTGGAAATAGAATATTCAAACAAGTACATCTTTCTTTTCGTAATTGAATTTTTCTTTTAATTTTTCTGGAAAGTGCAAAAAGATTATGAAAAATTTTTGCTAAACAATAATTCATTTACTTGTCTGAATAGATAAAATACGATGGCAATGTATTTGGCCAGTTTTGGCCTACCACCTGCTTCAAATTATAAAAGAAAATGATGAATCCCTGGTTTATAACATTTTAAATTTTGACCTACAATTTGATGCAGGAATCTCACTACTTGGAATCTACCCAGAGGAAAAGAAGTCATTATGTGAAAAAGACACTTGCATGCGTGTGTTTAAAGCAGCACAATTCACAATTGCAAAAATACGGAACCAGCCCAAATGCCCATTAATCAAGTGAATAAAGAAAATATGATATATATATATATATTAAATAGACACATACATATCTCACATTGGTATACTACTAAATATCACATTGAATAAATATGAGATATATACATATATATGTATATATCCAATGTGATATATACATATATATCACAGTGGAATAATTGGAATACTACTGGAATATCACATTGGAATAAATGTGATACACACACAAACATACACCATGAAATACTACTAAGATATAAAAGGGAATGAAATAATGGCATTTGCAGCAACCTGGATGGAGTTAGAAACAATTATTTTAAGTGAAATAACTCAGGAATGGGAAACCAAACATCGTTATGTTCGCACTTATAAGTGGGAGCTAAGCCATGAGGACACAAAGGCATAAGAATGATATAATGGACTTTAGGTATTCAGGGGAAAAGGTGGGAGTGGGTTGAGGGATAAAAAATTGTACATCAGGTAGGTGTACACTGCTCAGGTGATGGGTGCACAAAAATCTCAGAAATCACCACTAAAGAACTTACCTATGTAACCAAACAACAGCTGTTCTGCAAAACCTATTGAAATTTCTTAAATTGAAATAAAGAAAATATTTTAAAAAGGAAGATATTTCTATCTCATGATATGTGAAAAACATTAACTAAAATTGAGAAAATATTTTGAACCAAATTTTGTCTTCTTACTGATTATCTTAACTACTATCTGGAATTAAAGTTACCAAATAAAAGTTGATATCGAGAAATAATTGAAAGTATTTAATTATAAAATTGAGAACCTAACCACAAATAGCTATTGAAAATAACAAATATTTGACATGTAATGTTATGTTACATTGCATATAAATATTAATGGATAGAAATGAAATATTAATTTTAATATGAAGCTTAAAAGTGTTTTTCAAAACTTTGTCAGCACACAGCATTTATTTTAAAACCCACACTTCTCTGCTAAAACCTTATCAACAGGAACCACACAAAATAAACAGGATACTTCTCCTTCACTTAGATTAGGTTATTCATTGCTTTGGTTCAATGGCAGTGATTGGCTATTTTAAGAGTGAATCAGTTTATCTCATGTTCTCATGGACCAAATATATTTGATTAGATCTGGGGTGAATAGGCTTCAACTTCAGTGTCAGTTCCATTCAATTGGCTGTGGCAGACATGAGCACAGATTTGGGAAGAAATCCAAGACTCAATGGAAAAGACTAGAAATGTCTGGCAATTGTTTGAGACCCAGAGTGTCATAATGCATCAGCTAAGTATTTTTCTCTCTGGGTAAGGCACTTAAATTCTCTACAGATAAATGAGAATAAAAGCTTATATATCTGTGGCATACTAAAACTTCATTTTAAAAGTATATTTACAGTAGAAATCATGTAACTAGAACAAGCAGGACATCCTTTAAAGGACGGTTATCTAACAAGCTTTAGTATTTGTATTTTCTCTAGTATTTTTTTCTCTAACAAATATGTAGATGAGTAATTGACAGTATCTATTTGAAATAGGGCATTTTTAGCATTATCCACAGGAGTTTAGAAAGTGTTGGGCATCAGTCTATCCAATTTGGAACTTGTGTATGTTTTTCCCAAAGAAACCTAAACAGAGTCAAGTAGGACTCTGATGTCATAAAACTGAGTTAATTATGATACCTTATTTTATAGAGTATAGAACTCTGGGATTAATACATATGTCTTTCTAGAAGTGTTAAAATGATTGCGTTTTTAGGAAAATCTGGAAGCTTTACCTAAGAGTACACATTTGCATTATAGGATACTCAGGGTTTTTCAACTATGCAGGTGGGGAGGAGGAAAGGTGCCAGCTGTTTGTTATCATTATTCTATTTTGCTTTTGTCTTCTCCCCACTTAGGGGTATCCAGATGGTTATAAATATTTAGGAATCTGAAGGCATTTCAAAAATATCAAATCTGTTACATTCTAAATACAAAATTAGCAAGTCACTAATTCTCAACTCACTTATCCCTTACTTGAACATAGAGAGAAACAGAAGCCAAAAAGATAAGTACTGTATCTGAAAAGATCCTTCCTTATTTTTCTATGTAATTATCCTAATTATACTTTTCCAATTTATTTTATTTATTTATTTATTTTTAAGACAGAGTCTCACTCTGTCACCCAGGCTGGAGCGCAGTGGCGCCATTTCAGCTAACTGCAACCTCCTCCTCCCAGGTTCAAGTGATTTCTCTTGCCTCAGACTCCCAAGTAGCTGGGATTACAGGCACCCGCCACCACACCTGGCTAATTTTTTGTGGTTTTAGTAGAGACAGGGTTTCACCGTGTTAGCCAGGATGGTCTCAATCTCCTGACCTTGTGATCTGCTGGCTTCGGCCTCCCAAAGTGCTGGGATCACAGGCATGAACCACTGCACCCAGCCTATACTTTTCCAATTTCAAATTGCAACAGAGGCAGAACCCTAACCTAATAACTCTGCTTCCTAGGTTAGTGAGTGTTCCAAGAGTCTGGTTAACTGATCCTTTTATGTCTCTGTTGCTCTGCTGTCAATCCAAAGCCAAATATATATGATACACAAACACACATCAGTCCAGTACCTTATGTGTCCTTCTTCCTAATACTCTCCATTCATTATTAGCACATAAAATCTCTTTGGTTTATTTCACAGAATAAATAAACATATTAATATCCTTAAAAATAAAACTATTTTGCTGAAATAACTTGTGAAATTATATTTCATTGCACTTTAAGCTGTCACCATTTTTACAACACATAGAACTGGCCACTATATAACACAGCTAGTAAATCTATAGTTCAAGACATTCAATATATATTCAAACCTCATATAACATATTCAATGATATGAGAGGCATTTAGGGGAAATATTTTGGAGAAATGAGGATTTGTCACAATAGTAAAATGTAGTTATACAGTTGTTCAATTGCTTGAAACTAGAGCCTCTAAAACAGAAAATAAATTTATAGAAACTTTACCATCTGAATTCAGTCTCAATTATCTATTTTATTCATTTCACTTATCTGACAAGGAAATTAGACTAGCAAACACATATTTATCTACACAATTATGGAAAGCAATTACTTGGGTGATATTTTAAGACTCAACTTCTAAGAAAACATTTGACATGAGCTGCTGTGCTCTAAGTATCTATTTTGGGGTTCACAGGAGGAAAGACACAAACAGTACTCACAGAGCACATTGAAACAACATACAATCTCAACTAGATCCTAAAGTCTAGAATACCTATGGTGAAAAACATATTCACAAATATTTATAAATTATTTAAAATGAGGATGTTGTTAAATACAACAAAAATACAGGAAGTCTGTGTACAGAATCAATACTGAATATGTTAAGACTGAATAATAAATGAGTTTAGTACTTACATAGAGGAAGATTTATTAATCAATTAAAGAACTAGAGTACTGCTTATTGTCTCTCTATTGGTTTCTGTTATGTTGACTGATGCAGTATAGGGTAACAATGAGCAATCCTTAGAATTTCTGTTTGTTTATTATACTGATATATTTTTATTATTATATTTTATTCATGGGCATTATTGGTAGGCAGGAAAGTTCCAATTAAATAAAGTAAAAAATAAAATGATTAGAGTTTAAAAATAATTACAGACAAGACTTAAAAAGTAATGAATATCAAATACATGTTTATCTGCCAGAAAAATAAATCCATTTTGTGGTGTATCTTTAGCGTTGACATAATGATATATAGTTTGTTTCCTGAAGTAGATTTAATGGTGTTGATTATTTTGTGGACTAGAAAGCAGCAGAGGAAATCAGCATATTGCTTTATGTCATTCTTCCATAGCCTTTTGCCTTGAATTGGAACACTAAATAATAGTCAAACTATGAGGTTGTTTTCCTGCTTTAATTTTTTTCTGTGTGTTATCTGTATGGGGAGGGGAGTTAAATGGAAAAAGAAAAAAGATTTAATTAAGCTAGTTACTAGAGTTATAATTTTTCCTTGAAAAAGGAATATATTTTCACAAAAAAGTTGAAGAGACTTTCAAAATGAAAAACTATTAAAATTATAGCCATACAATTCAGATTATTTTTAGGAGACAGTAATTGGTCATTTTACAGAAGTTGATTCTACCACATCTTTGCATTCATTTCAGGACCTATTATATTTTCTGTACTTACTAAATATCCTAAAAATACCACTCAAATCTAGCACTTGGATCATCTGGGATTATGAACTGATATTATGAATAATGTGTGCTGCTTTTCAAAAAGCAATTTCTAATCACTTTTATCTTTCATGCTGATTTTTGTTAATATAATTGATCCAATTTTAGGAAAAGAACAGGTGAAAAGGCTAAAAACAGTATCAAACTGTTTTTCTTTGGTTTAATTTTGTAGATGTATGCATTAATACTGTGAATAAAAGAGAAGCAACGGTTAAAATTTAAGTGGTAAAAAAGTATATTCAGGACAAAAATTAAGAGAAAACTACACATATCAATTCATATTTGAAATATGAGAAATTCCTATTGAGTGCTACAAAATATCCCAAATTAGACTGATGTATTTGGAAAATAGCCCAATGAAATTACAGATAAAACCTTATAGAGATTTATATTAAACATGTCTTTAATCATAAACATGTTGGAACATCAAAAATTACAAGGTGTGTTTATTTAAAGAAAGCACGCTGAAGAAAGAAGAGACCAAGATAACCAATCTGAATAGGTGTCAAAAAGTAAATAGGAAAAAAAATGCATACATATTTTTCAGTATATATTCATGTATATATTTTCAAATGTTCATGCTTTCAAATACAAACACACACACACTAACTCACACATACACAATGCATTCACAAACATACATTTCAAACTTACGTCAACCCAAACAAGAAGCACCTGTTATGAAAAATAACAATCTCAGGAAAAAAAAAAAGAGTTATTGGGACTGAAGATACGACTGCACAAGTGGAGTGAAGTTTAGGAGATAGTGAGTGATATCTTTTGGCTGTGTCTTCACCCAAATCTCACCATGAATTGTAATAATCCCCCATGTGTCAAGGGCAGGACCACATGGAGATAATTGAAACATGGAGGTGGTTTCTCCCATGCTGCTCTCATGATAGTGAATGCATTCTCAGGAGAGCTGATGGTTTCATAAAGGGCTTTTCCTCCTTAGCTTGGCACTTCTCCTTCCTGCTGCCATATAAAGAAGGACATGTTTGCTTCCCCTTCCACCATGATTGTAAGTTTCCTGAGGCCTCCCCAGTTATGCTGAACTGTGAGTTAATTAAATCTCTTTCCTTCATAAATTACCCAGTCTCGTGCACATCTTTATTAGCAGTGTAAGAAAGACTAATACAGTGAGCTAATGTGCTCATCATTTCACAATAGCATCAAATATGATGGTAAAGGTAAAAGGAATGAGAATCAATTGCAGAAGTACAACAATAAAAGCAAAAAAAGAACTAAATGCAAAAACACTGGGTATTTTAACAATGGAATTCTGATAAAGCTGTGAGATGATGAATTTAAATTTTATTCCCTTCCCTGTATGAATTTATTGTAGCATGTACTTGTATAGATTTTATACCACTTAAAGAATACACATTAAGAGGACAGTTAAAAGATAAGTGCTGCTCCTAGTTTTAACTATAATAGAGTGCCCAGGCAAACTTAAAAACAAAGGAAGAGGTAACACTTAAAATTTATAGCACATACTGGACATTCCTAGTTGCTAAAGAATTTAATGAAATATGTAGATAGATAGCAAAGTTAAAAAAAATAGAGTACAATGTGAGAAAAGTTAAGAATGAACAGAAATAATAATAAGCTACAAATAACTACACATTCCCAAAGAGTAACTGCCAGGCATAACAGGTGTGAAAACAGATTTGTGGATCCCATCATCCAGTAAATTAACTTGCTGACCAGGATGTTACTCTCACCAAGAAAATATACCAATTGAAAATACATACATTACAAGGTATTTTATCATAAGGAACTAAATTTACATGTAAAGTTTCAGATATCCAAGTATAAATACACAGTTTAGTTTCCCCCAAAGTATCAAATTATGAACATATGGAATAAGGGGCTACCTTAGAACAACATGATATTTTCATAGTAGTTAGTGAAAACTGATTTTATAGTATCTTTATTTACATTACTCTGGCATAATTGTAAGAAACATGTACTTTAAATAAGCTAAGTTTTATTCAAATGAAGGAAACAAATAAAAAGGTATCATTGCAAACGGAGAATGTTTCTGCAGTTGAAAGCCAATTCTATGTCTAATTTAGATGCTAAATTGAAATTAACCTTGGTTTACTTCTTCCATACTTTCTAAGTAATTTCATTTATGCAGTGAAAAGTATATATGTTCAATTTTAATCTTTTTGATCTGTCCACTCTCTAAATAATTTATTTGTGGGAGGAAAATCAAAAGATAACACTTTGATTACCTTTCT
This sequence comes from Homo sapiens, assembly GCF_000001405.40. Lineage (NCBI taxonomy): Eukaryota > Metazoa > Chordata > Mammalia > Primates > Hominidae > Homo > Homo sapiens. The sequence continues at coordinate 19,956,398 of NC_000005.10, forward strand.
TAGGCTAAAAGAGTAGGTCAACATCATTCCTAATCATCAGCAGTTAGTGTTAAATATATTGATTACTGGTAAATTCTTTCATTACAGAGTGATGCTCCTTATAATTTTCTGTACAGGATTGCCAACAAAAAAGGTCCTAAAATATTTAGTGATAATTTACATTCAATACTGATTGTTTCAGTTATGAATACTAAGAAACCATTTCTTACCAAATTATCCTGCCTTTAAATTCTTTATCAAATTGTTAACAATATATCTAACAAGTCTCTTGTAATATAAATAGTTATTGCCTTCCAATTAGTATTGATAATACAGTATATATTTTACTTCTTAAAGTATTATAGAATATTTGTGATGCTCAGTAAAATATATATGTTTTTAATTTATCTTTTTCTCCTGCACGATCACTGTATTAGAAAAATGTTACCATTGGTTAACATTTTCAGTTGTCATGCATAATTCGTATAAGAATCTCAAGAGCAGAAAACTGTGAACTAAGAGTACCTTAGTAAAATCCCAAGTAGTAGAGGTGGATGTAAATCTATGTGACTTATTTATAAACTTTATGTCTCTATATAGCTATCTATAATTACTTTTAATACCACTTACTTACATACTAACAATTTCTGCCCTGGTAGGTGTTTGGAATATTCTGGGAAAAATTAAAATCTGTTTCTCAGTTTAGTAAAGTGCTGCAAAGTCCTTTTTGTATGTTTCACGTCCCATAGAATTGAGCATCTCTAATCTCTTTCTCTGGCTATTTTAAGGAGAAATCAGCCCTGGGGCATCTGGAGAATCTGTTTTATTTCACCAAGCATGGACAAGAGAATCACTGATAATTATTTTTGTACTTTCAGAGTGAATTCAAACATCTGCAAACATAAACACACAAACATGCATATATGTATGTGTATATATATGTTTTATATATGTAATTATAATTTATATTTATATGTCATTATATACATCAATAATAATATATCATATACATAGAAGGAATAATATATCAGCTCTATGTGTTATGTATATCTGTGTGTGTATATGTGTTAGGTACATATAAGGGTATATTTAAAAATATCTACATAGCCTTTGAATAATCTTTTCTAAGTTTTCAATTAAGATGTACATTGCAGTTAGTATGACCAAAATGTTTCTATTTAGAAACATGGAGTTATTTTAGTTATTGTTTATCACTTGGAAATAAAATTTTGGGTACACTTAGAAATAAATTACCATCAAAACTCCAATAATCTAGTATTTGGTTTTGAGCTAAAAATATGTTTGCAATTTATTTAAGAGTAGACATTGGCCTTACTCTTTGTCCAATCGAGAAGAATTATATACATTTTTTTCTTTGCTTCCATCATCTGTTGTAATTTATGAGATGATGTACAATAGAAGACTATTTATTTTCAGAGTTAAAGGATTCTGCTGAGAAAATAACATATATGTTTTTACTAAACAGCTATTTTCTACAAAAATGTAATATGTAGATAACTGAAAAATACAAAATCTATGTTGATAATTTTCATGCCAAAACATCACATTGATGAGTGCCTTTTATGACCAAGTATAACAGATACAGCTGACCCTTTCTGAAATAAATCTTTTTCTCTTCTTTGTTGGCTCACAAATAAACTACCATTTTCACCTCCTTTGTGTTTGGGGATGAACTTATGATGGCTGGCCCAGCCATTACATTTTCCAAGGGATCTCTCTCATTGTTTTTCCCCTTCAGCAGACTAGATAGTGATATCCAGTGTGAACGAAGCCTTATGTTGATAATGGTAGAGCTTTGAGCACCCTGGATCCCTAAATGCCTGGAGTAGAATAAACACTCTCAACCATTGATCTAAGCCATGTTGCGATGCCCAATAACTAAACAAACAAACATATAAACTTGTATTATATCCAGCTTAAAATATTGGAGCTTATTTCTTATACTAGATAAAGAAACTCAATAGGATGATCTTTCCTTCACCAAAAAAAAAAAAAAAAAAAAAGGAGAAGCTAAAAGATTCTAGTTAATGTACTTAGGACTTATGAACTGCCATCAAGGTCATTATGAACTGCCATCAAGGTTACTGTATGAACTGTAAATGACCTGTGGCCAGGGGCCAGGTGTTTATACCCTCAGTACCTAGCACACGCCAGGAACTTGATAGGCACTAAGCAGTATTGGCTGAATGAATAAATATAAAAGAAAACATGTAAAAGAGGAGAAGACAGGTAAAATAGTCTCTATACCACACCAAGAGCCTGTTAGTGTCAGCCTGGGAAGCCCCAGGTAACTGACACTCATCCTTTCATCTCTATATCCTGGAATATGCTTGAACCAGTTTGTGTAACTTTGGAAAGTCTGGAAGTAACAAACGAGACATGAGAACATGTGTGATGTTCCGTGTTGCATCGCATTTTATGGTTCTATCTTATGGAGAATGTTTGGACTTCCAGAGCAGTGTGAAGTGGCATCACTTCATCAGGTCATTGGTGACAGTGGCCTTGAAGAAATTTGCTGACCATTCTGCTAGGTATCCTCACTGCCATACCATCTTCTGCACCATTAAATAATTTACTCTTATTTGATTAACTCAACAATGTCTGTACCTGGTCTTTCTGTTATTCTGAAACAATGGTAAACGTTTTTTAAAATATAGCAGTCATGAAAGAGAAACAAAGAAAGATATTTGTAAAATGGAAAAAGACAAGGCAAAGAAGGATGAAGGGAGGGAAGAGTGAATGAAAAAGAAAAGTAGAAAAAGATTGAAGATGAGAAGGGAAACAGAGAGTCCTGAAAGCAGTAAATATTTTACTGGGCTTAATATTCACATATCTTCATTAGCTTGTGTGTGTATAACTGTAGGTGAGTGTGTGTAAAACTATTAAATATCTTTATTTATTTAAAAATATTATTTAAGATGCCATTAAATATAAACTCAGAAGATATACTAATGTATATTTAGTTATGGGAATTTTAAAAAATGCAAATAAGGGGTACAATATTAAAATAGTTTTCAAATACATTTTATAAACATAATTGTAAGTATACTGTATTTAACATTTGTATTTATTTTCCCACTTATTCAGTCTTTTCCATGTTTAATTCCAAGAAAACTCATTTTGTGACTTCTGCTTATAACATTCTACCTACAATTTATTTAATAATGTTAAATTGTTTGATAATTTAGATTATCTCTAATGTTCTGTTACTATAAATACAGGTGGTTTAAACATATATTTTCCATATTGAGTGCTGTATCTTGGAGACAGATTTCCAGAAGGAGAAGGGGCAAGAAAAATGATTTTCAGTCATGCATCCCTTAATGACAGGAATGTGTTCTGAGAAATACACCCTTCAATGATTTCATTCTTGTATGAACATCACAGATTTGTGCTTACACAAACCTAGAGGGGATAGGCTACTTCACACCTAGGCTGTATGATATAGCCTATTGCTCCTAGGCTACAAATCTGCACAGCATGTACAGGTGGACAACTGTAATACAACGGTAAATATTTATGTATCTGAACATTTTTAAAGGTACAGTAAAAATACAGTATAAAACATAAGAAATGATGCACCTGTATAGGATGCTAAAAAGGAAGCTTGTGGGACTGAAAGTTGTTCTGAGTGAGTCAATGAGTGAGTGATGAGTAAATGTGAAGACCTATGACATTACTCTACACTACTGTAGTCTTTATAAACACTGTATACTTAGGTAACACTAAATTTAAATATTTTCTTTCTTTAACAGTAAGTTAATTTTGGCTTACTGTAAGTTTTTGCATTATCAGCTGTTTAATTATTTTAAAACGTTTGAGTGTTTTAAATAACAATTAGCTTAAAACAATCACATTTTATAGCTGTATAAAATATTTTCTTTCTTTATCTCTTTATTCTACAAGCACTTCTCTATCTTTCATTTGTTTTTACTTTTTAAACATTTTTGTTAAGAACAAAGACACTAACATGCAAATCAGGCCTATGCTAGCTCATGATCATCAAAATCAATGTTTTCCACCTGCACATCTTGTCCCATTAAAACGTCTTCAGGGGCAATAACACACATAGAACTGTCATCTCCTATGATAACAACACTTTCTCCTGGAATATCTCCTGAAGGACCTGCCTGAGGATGTTTAATATACGTGTGTGTGTGTGTATGTGTGTGTGTGTGTGTGTGTGTGTGTGTATATATATATATACACACACGTGTATATATATACACGTGTATATGTATACATATACACGTGTATATATATATACACATGTATATATATGTATACATATACACGTGTATATATGTATATATGTATACACGTGTATATACGTATATACGTATACACGTGTATATATATGTATATATGTATATATACACGTGTATATATATGTGTATATATGTATATATACACACACACACGCACACAAATATACATACATATATGTAAACACTGTATGTAAAATAACAATAAAAACTATACTGCAGTAAATCATAACCCAATAACATAGTCATTTATTATCATTATCAAGCATTATGTAGTGTACATAATTATATGTGCTATGTGCTAGGCTTTTATAAGACTGGGAGTGCAGGAGGTTTGTTTATACCATCATCACCACAAACGTGAGTAATTCATTGTGCTACGATGTTACAATGGCTATGATGTTACTAGGTGATAGGTATTTTTCAACTACATTATAATTTTTTTTTTTTTTTTTTTTGAGATGGAGTCTCATTCTGTCGCCCAGGCTGGAGTGCAGTGGCGCGATCTAGGCTCACTGCAACCTCCGCCTCCTGGGTTCATGAGATTCTCCTGCCTCAGCCTCCCGAGTAGCTGGGATTACAGGCGCACACCACAACACCAGCACGCTAATTTGTTTTGTATTTTTAGTAGAGATGGGGTTTCACTATGTTGGCCAGACTGGTCTCAAACTCCTGACCTCGTGATCCACCCGCCTCGGCCTCCCAAACCGCAAGGATTACAGGCGTGAGCCACCGTGCCCAGCCAACTACATTATAATCTTATGAGACCACCATAATATGTGAGGTTTGTTATTGACCTAAACTTCATTATCTGGCACATAACTGTATATATGTTATTGGTCAATATCAGTTGTGAAATTGTGATGCCACTGGCAATGATGGAGTGTACCCACTTCAGCACAATGTCACCAGCACTGGATTTTGTTTCACATTGAAAATTAGAAAGATAGTATCTTATCTTCATTATGAATATAATTATTGTAATTTCACATAAGCCTGAAATTTATAGTGATTACATTACTCATGATTACATTATTTTGTCTGTTGCCTGTTGTCTTTCATGATTCTCTTAATTTTAATGTTTCGATACATACCATATCCAATAATATCATTTTGTTGTCCTGATTCCAGCTCAAAAGGCTTTTTTAAGTTTTTATTATGGTCATGTAATAAAATAATTGGCCCTTAATCTCGTTTGCAGTAATTATTGCATTAGCTTTCTTTACCTTTTATTTTTTTTACTTCTAAGTTTGTATTTTTTAAACCAAACAATTTTTTCTCTGCAAGTTTTTTAAATAAAATTTGGAAACTTTTGTTAACCTTCTCTCCTGTAGATATTATAAATATTCTGTTATCATTCCTTTTGATATGTTATGATCTTTTCATAATTGATTCTCAGTACATTATTTTGTTTGAAGAAATAGAGTTTTAATTGATTTCCCCAATATTGTCATAATTTAGTATAATGTCTCTTCTTTAACCTTGAGTGGGAAGTCTTCTCCACTGTTTGATAAATGTTTTTATGTAAATTATTTATGGAATATTCTTTTATCTCTATTTCTCATATTTTACATGAGTATCAAATTTTGGGTTTTAAAGATGGAAAAATATATTTGCTAATCAGATTTACTATTTACAAACATTTAATAAATTAAATTGAAGAGATAATATGAACCAGTGATTACTTCGTAATTTAGAGAATAAACGTCAAAAAGCAAAAAAAAAAAAAAAAAAGAAAATTCAATTCCTTTAAGAATATTTGACATATTTAGACTCAGTATAAAATTTTACATTGCATAGCATTGTATTTTATTTTTCAAAAATAAGGGGGCGGGGCGTGGTGGCTCATGCCTGTAATCCTAGCACTTTGGTAGGCTGAGGTAAGCAGATCACTTGAGATCAGGAGTATGAAACCAGCTTGGCCAACATGGTGAAACCCTGTCTCTACTAAAAATACAAAAAAGTTGGCTGGGCATGGTGGCAGGTGCTTGTAAATCTAGCTACTCAGGAGGCTGAGGCAAGAGAATCTATTGAACCTGGGAGGCGGAGGTTGCAGTGAACCGAGATTGCACCACCGCACTGCAGCCTGGGCAAGACTCGGTCTCAAAAAATAAAAAAGTAAATAAATACATCTTAAGGAGATTCTGTGGAATACTTAAGTCTCAGAGAATATTATTTAAAGTATTCATAATGCATAATTCATTTAAGATGATACAATGTCCCATCTAATTCACCAAGGCAGGAAAGACATTATTGAGCTTGCTATCCTTTCTCTTGAGACTCATTGACACTATAGCCTGACAAAACAACTCAGTGTATTTTCTTTGTATTTGATTTTTTAAATGTATTCTCTTATTTCTAGTTTAAAATTGATCCATAATCATTGCTAACAAGAGATCTGACAAGAAAAACAAAAACTGAAATATGAACATCAAGCCTCAATAAGCATAGCCCACAAATACAAGCTAATGTCTATGTACCCATTCATTCACTGAAATCACACAATTCCTTACATACCGTCATAATTTTACAGTATTTCCATTTATGAAGGTTTAAAACAATTCTTAAGCAGTTTTCATTCCTATCCAACTTTTCACTTCAAGGTATTAAAACTACAATGGTGTTGGAAGGTGATAATAGTGATATGAAATATGTATTATTCTGCTCTCACACTGCTATAAAGAACTGTCCGAGCCTGGATAATCAATATGGTTTGGCTGTGTCCCCACCCAAATCTCATCTTGAATTGCAGTAATCGAATTCCCATAATCCCCACTTGTCATGGGAGGGATCTGGTGGGAGGTAATTGAATCATGGGGATGGTTACACTTATGATGCTGTTCTAGTGATAGTGAGTGAGTTCTCGTGAGATCTGTTGGTTGTATAAAGGGCTTTTTCTCCTTTTGCTTAGCTCTCATTCTGCTCTCTCCTGCTATCATGTGAAGAAGGACATGTTTGCTTCCCCTTCAACCATGATTATAAGTTTCCTGAGGCCTCCCCAGCCATGCTGAACTGTGAGTCAATTAAACTTCTTTCCTTTATAAATTACCCAGTATTGGGTATGTCTTTATTAGCAGCATGAGAATGGACAAATAAAGTAATTTACAAATAAATGAAGTTTAATCGACTCACAGTTCTGCATGGCTGGGGATGCCTCAAGAAACTTAACAATCATGATGGAGGGAGAAACAAACATCTTCTTCACAAGGTGGCCAGATCAAAAGAGATAAAAGAGCAAAGGGGGAAGAGCCCCTTTTAAAACCTTCAGATCTCCTGGGAACTAACTCAATATCAAGACATTAGCATAGGGGCAAGTGCCCCCATGATCCAATCACCTCCTACCAGGTCCTTCCCTCAACATGTGGGGATTACATGGGAATTACAATTTAAGATGGGATTTGAGTGAGGACACAGCCAAACCATATCAAAAGACAAAGGCAAAAGCTAAAACACAGATTTTTAAAAATGTTTATGAAGTCTATCATTTGATTTAAAAATTTGAAAACTAGAACATGATATAAAAAAGAGTACATATCAGATATATGTTGTTTCATAATATAATAGATTCAGCTACATGAGTTGTTAATGACTGCGCAAATTTGGTTTGTCATGCAGACAAGTTGAAATGAACCTAAAGATTGGGTGCAGTGGCTCATTCCTGTAATCCCAGCATTTTGGAAGGCCAAGGTGGAAGGATCACTTGAGCCCAGGATTTCAAGACTAGCCTGGGCAACATAGTGAGACCCTGTCTCTACAGAAAAAAAAAAAAAAGAAAAGAAAAAGAAATTATATGGGTGTGGTGGCATGTGCCTGTAGTCCCAGCTACTTGAGGGGCTGAGGTGGGAGGACTGCTTGAGCCTGGGATAGTCTCAGCTTCTGAAGATGCTGAAGTGGGAGGATTTCTTGAGCCTTGGAGGTTGAGGCAGCAGTGAGTGGGATTGTGCCACTGCACTCCAGCCTGGATGGCAGGGCAAGGCCCTGTATCAAAAAAAAAAAAAAGAAAAAAAAAGAAAGAAAAGACCTTGAATGTAAATTCTGAGGTATAATATGGAACTATGTATTTAGAACCTGAAAAAATTTACATATTTTGGCTAATTCCGTTATAGAAATTAAACTAAGAAAAAATCAGAAATACAAAACAATTTGAACAAAACGACTATAGCAATGTTGGTAGTAGCAATAGAAATAAACAAAAGAGCCAAACATAATAATTTAGATGAATAAATTTTGATATGACCATTAAAGATATAAGGGCTTTAAATAGCATGATATTGAAATACTTAAGTTTATTAAAACATTCAATGATGTATTATCAGGTGCAAAATTTGTTCAAAATCCACACATATGCAATATATACCATAAAATGGTTGTACTTATAGAGTACATTTGCTTAAAGGAATATTTATCAAAGTTTTTGTGGAGATTATCTATGAGTGGGGGGATTGCATGATATCTTTATTTTGTAGTTTATATGTTTTCTATACCCGCGTTTTAAACAATAGATCTATCTCACTCTATGAAGAATAAAATAAAATTAAATTAAAAATGCAAGCATAACAATGCCATAAGCTATTTTATAAAAACACAAGTTTCAATCCTCTGGAAATGTATAATAAACATAAGTCTTATGTGTATACAAGTGAATAAATGTAGCCACATATGTAGGAATATAATGGGACCTACATAGAGTGGATTTTCTCCACAATTCTGACAAATAAGAAAAACTCTAAATCTGAACTTTGCTGTATTCAATGTTTTAAATGGCTTGATGACTTTACATAAACTATATCTGACTTTACTATATGTTTAAAATATGGAAACACACTCCCCTGATACAGGAAATGACAAGCAGATAATTATAATTTGTAGATTTAATAAATAGCATTATATGTTAGCAAAATATCTATTAAAGTTGAATCAGTGTGCTAGAATTACAGGAGTGATTTATTAGATTTCTTTTATTCTGATAATTACTGGGGAAAAGTACAAAAACTATACAGTATGTCAACAGTTTCACTGTCCTGAAGGCTACATTTCTCCACCAGGTTACATTTAAGGAGGAAGGAGGAAGAGAGAGGCAGGTAGAAAGAGAGAGGCGGGTAGAAAGAGAGAGGCAGGTAGAAAGAGACAGGTGTGAGGTTCTTGTGGGAACAAAAGTGCAACTGGACAGAGGACAGGATTTCCTAGTGTATTGTCCCGCCATGTCAATAAACAGCTACCTCTCTCCCAGCGACACTTACATGACAGAGACAGTGTGCATGCAGTACAACAGAACACACAATTTGCTTTTCTTTTACTACAATGACAAAAACCTGTAGTAAATACAAACAGATGGTATGTGGCTTTCATAAAAAAAGAAAAAGGCTTTCAGGAGAGAAAACGAATAAATTTTGTTGTGTGAGTTTGAACTTCGTACTATACACACTACTTTGATTTATATATAAAAAGATAATTTGTTTAAAAGATTGAAAGAAAGGCAACAGAAAGATCATTTGTGAAACCTGGTATATCAGTGGAGGTTATTCATCATTAAAACATACTATATGCTTATTTCTGGACAGCTGTTGTGTTCAGATTATTTAATTCAATTATGATGAGATTAAAAATAATATATCCAATAATGCTCTTGCTCAGAGAGAAAAACATGTCACAATTTCATGGATATTAGTTAGGCTTCTAATCTTTAATCACTAAAAGTATGAAGGCCTGAGAGAAGATTAAGAGCTCATAAATCTGGATAAGAAAGAGAAAGGTTTATCACATTCAATGTTATATCAGCTATCCACATAATTGTATATTCCAACTGGATGTTATAGATTGGTTATTTTCTTCTATATACAATACCTGAAGCATGGAGATGATATATTTAGCAAATCACCATATCAGTCACATGGTATAAAGAAAGTAGCAAAATTGCTAAATCATTAAAAGAAAAAACAATTATTTTTCTTAATAAAGGGATTCTATATGTAGAAAATTTTACTGATGGAAATCAGCTCAAAGCCTGTTTTTTTTCTGGAGCAGATTTTCTTTCCAATAGTAAACTACTAGTTATTATTTTCAAGAGTTATATATGCGTGCTTATTCACCTACAATAAATAATGAAGAAATAGATAAAGAATTTCACTTCATTAACATAGTGATGAGCTATTTTAAAGTCATTTCAGAGTATTCTCATACTTTGAGAGTTTATTTTAAAATAAAACATAATAAAAGATGGCTACATAACAAAAATTACAGTTATATTGAATGTACATAATTGTTAATATCAAATATTAGTGAAAAAATGTACTAATACCAAACCCATTAATTAAAATTTATAGCACATCCATATAATATATTTGCAACAAGACCAGGTCTAGGTGACATAAAAAAGAAAATAATAATGTCATATTTATTCTGAAGCAGTATGCACTACACTTAGGTTTAAAAGAAAAAAATGTAAAAAAAATCTATAATAAAGGAAAGTGAGAATGAATGCTATAAAAGCTATAGTAAACTAAATAGGAGAGATTAACGATATTGATGTGATAGTTACTTGATTCAGAAATTTGCATCTAAAGGATACATTAATTACAAAAATGAAAAAAATAGAAACAGATTAGAGGAGAAATATTCAATATTATTTTAGACTTTTGACCTTAAAGAAATCATGGTGATTCCAATGTTATAATTAGAAAAATATAGAAGATTCATTCAACTGTTAAGAATAGAAATGATGATGAAACCTGTTTTACTGAGTGCCTTCTGTGTGCTTGACACTGTGTTCTGTTCTAGAATCATAAAATTTTCATTCTTTTGGTTTGTGTTGTACATATTGTACAGAGAGCAAATTATATAACTTGCCTGTGGTGATATAAACTTTAATGTTACTAAGCTTCAAAACAATTTGTGACTGATTCTCACATTCATACTTATATAAAATCATGTTGGTCTCAGAAAAATAGAAGATGGCATAGCACATATTTTCATTTACATCATAAGGAACACTGATACACTGATCACAAAAGAAGGTATCCTACGTATCTCAAAATAATAAGAGCTATCTATGACAAACCCACAGCCAATATCATACTGAATGGGCAAAAACTGGAAGCATTCCTTTTGAAAACTGGCACAAGACAGGGATGCCCTCTCTCACCACTCCTATTCAATATAGTGTTGGAAGTTCTGGCCAGGGCAATTAGGCAGGAGAAGGAAATAAAGGGTTTTCAATTAGGAAAAGAGGAAGTCAAATTGTCCCTGTCTGCAGATGACATGATTGTATATCTAGAAAACCCCATTGTCTCAGCCCAAAATCTCCTTAAGCTGATAAGCAACTTCAGCAAAGTCTCAGGATACAAAATCAATGTACAAAAATCACAAGCATTCTTATACACCAATAACAGACAAACAGAGAGCCAATTCATGAGTGAACTCCCATTCACAATTGCTTCAAAGAGAATAAAATACCTAGGAATCCAACTTACAAGGGACGTGAAGGACCTCTTCAAGGATAACTACAAACCACTGCTCAATGAAATAAAAGAGGACACAAACAAATGGAAAAACATTCCATGCTCATGGGTGGGAAGAATCAATATCGTGAAAATGGCCATACTGCCCAAGGTAATTTATAGATTCAATGCCATCCCCATCAAGCTACCAATGACTTTCTTCACAGAATTGAAAAAAAATTACTTTAAAGTTCATATGGAACCAAAAAAGAGCCTGCATCGCCCAGTCAATCCTAAGCCAAAAGAAAAAAGCTGGAGGCATCACGCTACCTGACTTCAAACTATACTACAAGGCTACAGTAACCAAAATAGCATGGTACTGGTACCAAAACAGAGATATAGATCAATGGAACAGAACAGAGCCCTCAGAAATAACGCCACATATCTACAACTATCAGATCTTTGACAAACCTGAGAAAAACAAGCAACAGGGAAAGGATTCCCTATTTAATAAATGGTGCTGGGAAAACTGGCTAGCCATATGTAGAAAGCTGAAACTGGATCCCTTCCTTACACCTTATATAAAAATTAATTCAAGATGGATTAAAGACTTAAACATTAGACCTAAAACCATCAAAACCCTAGAAGAAAACCTAGGCATTACCATTCAGGACATAGGCATGGGCAAGGACTTCATGTCTAAAACACCAAAAGCAATGGCAACAAAAGCCAGAATTGACAAATGGGATCTAATTAAACTAAAGAGCTTCTGCACAGCAAAAGAAACTACCATCAGAGTGAACAGGCAAACTACAAAATGGGAGAAAATTTTCACAACCTACTCATCTGACAAAGGGCTAGTATCCAGAATCTACAATGAACTCAAACAAATTTACAAGAAAAAAACAAACAACCCCATCAAAAAGTGGGCAAAGGACATGAACAGACACTTCTCAAAAGAAGACATTTATGCAGCCAAAATACACATGAAAAAATGCTCACCATCACTGGCCATCAGAGAAATGCAAATCAAAACCACAATGAGATACCATCTCACACCAGTTAGAATGGCGATCATTAAAAAATCAGGAAAGAACAGGTGCTGGAGAGGATGTGGAGAAATAGGAACACTTTTACACTGTTGGTGGGACTGTAAACGAGTTCAACCATTGTGGAAGTCAGTGTGGCGATTCCTCAGGGATCTAGAACTAGAAATACCATTTGACCCAGCCATCCCATTACTGGTTATATACCCAAAGGACTATAAATCATGCTGCTATAAAGACACATGCACATGTATGTTTATTGCGGCACTATTCCCAATAGCAAAGACTTGGAACCAACCCAAATGTCCAACAATGATAGACTGGATTAAGAAAATGTGGCACATATACACCATGGAATACTATGCAGCCATAAAAAATGATGAGTTCATGTCCTTTGTAGGGACATGGATGAAATTGGAAATCATCATTCTCAGTAAACTATCACAAGGACAAAAAACCAAACGCCGCATGTTCTCACTCATAGGTGGGAATTGAACAATGAGAACACATGGACACAGGAAGGGGAACATCACACTCTGGGGACTGTTGTGTGGTGGGGGGAGCGGGGAGGGATAGCATTAGGAGATATACCTAATGCTACATGAGGAGTTAATGGGTGCAGCACACCAGCATGGCACATGTATACATATGTAACTAACCTGCACATTGTGCACATGTACCCTAAAACTTAAAGTATAATAATAAAATAAAAAAAGAAGGTGTCCTAAAGAGTTTATAAATTAACACCTTATTATAGTAATATAAACATTTAAAAATCCAAGAATGTTTTACATCCAATAAGTTTAAGGAGTAGAACAGTATAAGACAGTGGAGAAGATCTGCTCATTGGTGGAAATAAAAGACCCGATTAGAGGTTAAAGGACAGAGCTAGATACATGGAGCACTAAAATTACATGAGTGATAACCATGAAAGTTGATGAGCTGAACAGGGGAGTGAGAAACAAATGGTCAGTAAAGAACCATTGAGAAACACCTACTGCTCCAGGGCAGCAAGAATAAAAAAGGCTCAGAATGAAATAGACAGAAAGAAGCAAATTCATCAATGAATAAATTATAATAAATTATAGTATTAATACATATTATATATAAATATCACAAGAATATAAACATGAATAATAAGTATTTTCCCTAAAAATTACTGATACTGCCATGGTACAGTCATCTTTATATTTATAATTTGTTAATAATAAATGTCATGCATTTCCATATTTAAAATTAAATTTAGCAATAAGAGAGGATATCCTTCTGTTCAATATATATTTAAGCATTTTACACTTTTGCAGGAATATTTTTCATTTAAGATCACAAGTGAAAAATCAAAATTTTAAAATATAGTTAGGTAAATTGGTATATTATATAGGAAACTCCCTAAATCATTATCTTAAGGTTTTGGAACTATTACTGTATTACGTTTTCTTTTAAAAGGCTATGTAGTGTTGTGGGTAAACCGAAGACAACTATAAAAAACCTAAATGAAGAAATATTTAAATGCTAAGTTCACGAGACTCATGGGAATACAGTTCATAAGATTTTTTGAAAATCCCTATCAGGAAAATAATTATTCATACATTTATTTATACCGTAAAATAATATTTAATCTTTGAGATTAAATATTATTCTACATATATTAAATATATATAAGTGTTTAAAATAATAAAGAAGATAGAAAAAAATAGAATTTTAGTGAAAACTAACTTGTTGACATATATAGGTAATACAGAAAACTTTTTAAAAACAGATAGTGAAGAATATCTCCATTGGAGACGGAGTGATGCTATTTTACAAGAAAACAAAATACATTATTAAAGTTTGTGCAGCAATCCCATATTTCTTCTCTAGCTGCTGGAGCATAAGTCTTTCTTATTTTTAGATTTTATTCTAAAAGAAATATATTTTTAACATGATGTCTTGAAAATAGCTCATTTTAAAGCAAATTAATCCATTTTAACCCTAATTAAAGCAAAGCATGCTTATTGATGAAATGCTAGTCTACCAGACAAAAATAAAGTAAAATTCTGAAAATATTCAGAATATATAATAGAGCTGGTATCCAGTTTGCTTGTTCTCAAGTAAATATCATAAAAATAACATTTTCCAGTATAAAATAACCATTAAAATAGAAGTACTCAAAAGTGACTTGCACCTTCAATTGTTCAAGAGCTAATGTATAGGGATGAATTCACATACATCACTTATAAACCTAATCAGCAAAAAAAGTTCAATGCCACAGAAAAGTTTTGTTAGAAGCAAAGTTTAAAATATATTACCAGAGCTTCACATATTAATTTAATGTATATATAAAAAGATAGTTTGTTTAAAAGAATGAAAGGCAACAGAAAGATCATTTGCGAAACTTGGTACATCAGTGGAGGTTATTGGTCATTAAAACATACTATGAAACATAAAACATACCATGAAACCTACTATATGAAAGCCAAATACTCCATGTTCTCACTTATAAATGGGAGCTAAATGATGAGAACATATGGACACATAGAGGAGAACAACACACACTGGGACCTTTCCGAAGGTGGAGGGTGGAAGGAGGAAGACAGGATCAAGAAAAACAATTAATGAGTACTATGCTTAATACCTGGGTGATGAAATAATTGGTACAACAAACCTCCATGACACAAGTTTACCTATGTAACAAACGTAACTTGTGCCTCTAAACTTAAACGTTAAAAAAAAAAAGAGAGAGAGAGAGAGAAAGAAATGTGAATCGAGGTGATCTGCCAAATAGTGCAATAATTTAGCTTCACCATCGGAGTCTCCATTATACCAGTAAGAACTACATATAAAGGGAAACCTAGTTTTAAAAAATACAAATGTGCTTTCTGAGGTCTAAACTACCATTCTTTGGTTGTCAATAACTGTATTTGTACTAAGTAAACAAAGATGATACAAAGAAAATGCGATATTCTTTTGGTGGTGGCATTATCTGCAAATGGCATTTCAAACCTGATTCATGCTTTAAATATGATGAACAAATTGAATGAGTTTGTTTATTTTTAGCACAGCCTTTGTTTTTCTCATTTATATATTATCCTCACAAGTTGCAAAGCAAAATTTGTTTCCTTAGCATCTTGAAATAAATATACTTAGTATATTGTATTTATACTGCATCTTACCATTCTACTTGCAAAACTATTAAAGTAAATCAAGAAAATGTTCACTAAATGTCAAAATTACTAAGTCTATAAATTCAGAAAGCTTTTCAATTTTCTACCATTGAAAGTCTGCATCCAAATGGTAAAAGTTGTTTTCAAACAGTTAGAAAAATGAAGGCGGTGCATTATCAATAAAGCGAAAGTGGCAAATTAAAACAATTGATGACTCCAGTTTAAGAGTATGAATGTTCACTGCATTATTCTTTCAAATTTTACTGTAGTTTTAAAGATTAAAAATATAGCAGGGGAATAATACAATGAGATACCACTACATACCTGCCAAAATGACTAAAATGAATAAGACAGACAATAACAAAAATATATCTCATAATGGTGTAGGAACATAAATTAGTAGAACCACTTTGGAATATGATTTGTCTTTATCTATTAAAGCTGAATATATACATAACTTATAACATAACAATTCTACTTACAATATACACTCAGGAAAAAGGCACACATATGTTCTCCAAAAGTCAAATACAAGACTGTTCACAGTTATATTATTTGTAATAGTTTTTAATAGAAATAGTAAATAGAATAGTAGTAAATAGTAAATACAACAGTAAATATACCGTAAATTATCCATTCTACTACTGAAGGGCTTTTGTGCCGTTTCTATTATTATCTGAAGTAATAGTCAATAATATTAATTAATAATATTACAGTTAATCGTTAATAAAAGAAATGGCACAAAAGCCTTTCAGTAGTAGAACAAATAACTTACGGTATATTTATAAAATGGAATAATCTACAGGAATGAAAATGCATAAACAACTGATTAATTCCACAAAATGGATGCTTTTAACAAAAGTAATGTTAAAAAGCCAATGGAAAAACACTGTGGAAATATTTTTCAATGGAAAAATACTGTATAATTTGGTTTATTTTAAATACACAGGCAAATGCCACATATAATGTTAGAAGTGAGGATAAAAAGGTTATATCTGGGGAAGAGAATAGGACTGTAAAAGTGCAAAAGGTAGGCTTCAGGAATGCAGGTAATATTCCATTTTGTAAGAGTGGTGGTTACCTGTGTATGGTATTCACTTGTGTCCTATTATCTATGTACGATGTACTTCAAATTTATTTTCTGAGATATAGTATGGGCTGTGCAGCAGGAAATCTCTTAAACCTTGGAAATCCAAAGGTAAGTGAATGCTCAATATCCTGGGTTAAGGAAGGTTTACTTTTTACTTGGAGGTGAGAAAAAAGGAAAGGAATAAGCTAATAAACAGTATTGAAGAACATGGAAAAAGTTGGCTAGTGTGATGGAGAACTACTTTAGGGAAAAGGGTTCTGTTTTTAATAGGATGAGAAGAGCATGAAGGACAAGAAGCTTACCATAAAAAATATGAGAGAAGGACATTTCAGACTAAAGGAACAAGCCAGTTCAACTGCTTAGCATATTTGAGGAGGGGAAAGTATAAAACTGTCACTTAATGAGCATAGATAGGGATCAAGTTGGACAGGAAGGCTAGATGAGAATATAAAAAGTTTTTGAGGTGATGGCAAGAATTTAGCCCCCTGTTTTTCATATTGGGATCCTTGGAAGAGTTTTGAAAGAGAGGAACAACATCTACTGATTTACACTTAGAGGGAGTATTTGCTGATTGTCATATGAATATATCAATGATTCGAGAAGGGTATTTGATGATGCAAGCCAAATGAAATAAATCATTATAGAAGAGATCATGGTGATTTGAACCAGTAGGGTGGTAGCAAAGATACACATAGTGAACATATTTTTAAAATATTTTAGGGTTAGAACATATAGGATCTGACAGTGGTAGGAGGTATAAGGGTGACAAAGGTGTAAAGGATCTTTCTCAGTTTTCAGACTGGTACAAATGGGATCATTTACTCAGATGTCAGAAACATGTTAAATCTGAGCAGAGTAAATAGGCGGTGTTGTCCCTGGATGTGTTTTAAAGATGGAAGTTTCCACCAATTTGGGAGGCCGAGGCGGGCAGATCACTTGAGTTCAGGAGTTCGAGACTAGCCTGGCCAATGTGGTGAAACCCCGTCTCTACTAAAATATAAAGATTAGCCAGGCATGGTCATGTGCACCTGTAATCCCAGCTACTTGGGAGGCTGAGGCAGAATCCAGGAGGCAGAGGTTGCAGTGAGCCGAGATCACACCATTGCACTCCAGCCTGGGCGACAGAATGAGATCCTGTCTCCCAAAAAAAAAAAAAAAAAAAAAAAGAGGGAAGTTTCCAGAGCACACTTATGGGAAGGACCATTAGAGAGTGATACTTTAATGATGTAACCAATTAAAGAGAGAAGTCAGGGAGGGTATGGGGACAGAATCCTGAGAAGGAGGTGCAGATATAGCAGGCATTGTCCTTCATTATAATTTGAATAGAGGCAAGAGATAGGAATATTGGTACTAGTTCATATAGATTGGTGGAAGTGAGCTTGTCACTGTCCCGTTGATTTAGCAAATTTATTTCTGAAATGTGATATGAGCCCATCAGCTGGGATCCAGGGTGCAGGGGGTGTGGGTGCTGGCCTGTGAAGAGGCATTATGGATGGAAGAGGAAAGCTGGGCATGCTCCATTCTGACCCGGCTACTTTTAAGTAAGTGTGTCCCGTAGGGCCATCTAGGAACTCTATGACTTAAATGTACTCTTCTACAAAATGAAGTTAACAATATCTACCTACACTCCTGTGCAGTAGGCCAAGAAGGAAATGTCATATAAAAAATGATTACTACATGTTGAGGTTCCAGAGAAAACTGGCAGTTAATCTGGTTGACTATGCATGCACAAGTAAATTATAAATGATACATTATATAAATATAACATTAACTAAATCAATAAGTTATATAAAATCTCAGTTCAAAGTATACATTTTACTTAAATAATTTCTATGATTTTTTCAGCATACCATGTCTCCACATCGTACTTAATAAAAATTATGTTAAATTTGTATATTTTTGTACAATGAAACTCATTTTGCCAAAATAATATACTTTTATGTGTCATAAAGCTGTAATTTTCTTAGGTAGTGATTTTTAAATAAAATTCAATATGTTGGGAAAAAATTGAGTAGTGCTAGATGAAAAATAAGTATGAAGAAAAGTAAATGATGAGGTTTGTAGGAGGATTGTGTACTACCAAAATATCTGAGTGAATGTATTTTCAATGAAAGGCAAGGTCTAGGTTGAGCATTTAGAGCAGAAACTTCAATAATAATTAAACACGATTTGATTTGAGGCAATTGTTATTTTAAATATTTTATGTCTCTCAGGAAATCAAATTTTTATAAATAATACTTTTTTGCTGTTGGTAATAAATTAGAGATATAAACACATATTAGCTAAGAACAAACTATTATTGTAGAGTTTATTGATTAGAACAATCTGGTTTTTCCATTTAGTTAATGTGTTACTTTTTCATTTTAAATGTTTGGCATTTCTTTTAGTAAAAGAATGGCTATCATTTCTAGGATGCTGACAAAGTGTCCTAGTTTACTTCTTTCTGAAAGCACAATTTTACACTTGGAAGAGTCAGCACATCCAGGATGCTAATACCAAATTTAAGTGTTAAAAATACCTTTTTGCATACACATTAAATCCTCTTTAGCACTGGACTGAAAATGGAGTGAGATGCTTTCTCAGAGAAACAGCTATTCCTAACGGTTACTTATTTCCAGAGTCACAGTCACACAAGAACTGCCTCTGAAGTTGGCGAGAGCACCTCATCTGAAACGGTGATTCATACTTAGCAAATTTCGACCCAGTGAAATTCATATTCTACTGATTCTTATTGTTTCATGCTTCTTTTCCCTTTTATTACCTGAGTGAGTGTTAAATGGCTCAAATTAAATAATTCTTAATTAAACTTCCATAAATTCTGTTTAAAAACTCTGAAGAAAAACTATTTTAAATTTTACTTTACATAATACATTAAAAAGATCTAGGAAAATAAAGGTCTTTAGATATCACAGACAATGCAAAAAGCTCACAGATTCTGGCAATCTACATAATTACAGAAAAAAGAGTTGAGGGGAAAAACACATTTTATCTACACACACACACAAACACGCACATACACACACATTTGTTGTTTCAGTACAGAGTGGACACAGTAGTAAACTAATGGTTATGACCTTTCAACAGTCTCAAAGAATCACCAATTGTAGATTGTCAACTGCAGTATTTCAGGGAAGAAATATGGACTTAGTCTTACTGAGGGGTTTCAGAAGATCAGATGGCTCTATTACTCAGGCATATTATTTAGTAGTATAAGGTAGATGGTCTCTGAAAAAAGAGGATTAATGAGGACTGGAGGGGATTGGGAGGATTAGAAAGATTGGTAGAATCCAGAGTGACAGAGGAAAGAAATAATATTGTTAGAAATATAATGATACAGAGTTGAAAATAGGAAAACAAAAGAATACCTACAAATTTCAAAGGATAAGACTAACTTATGGCAACATGACAGGATATAAAGACAGAAACAGGGATGAAAATGAGTTATGAGGCAAAAATAAAGACAAGAACGCATCAGATTGACATATTGTTTTGTAGAGATTTTAATGATCTAATATTAAGTAAGGATTAAGTAGAGTAGTATGGATTAAATAACACTTGATTTTTAAAAAGCTGAATAAAATTAATGTTTGCATGTTTAAATATATATGCTTTTCAGGTTTATGGAAAAAGGTGTAAGTGGATAAACAAATTATTAATTTGTGGATATATAGTTTGTAGATATTTCAACTCAGTGGGATTGAAGAAAGGGAAACAAAGTATAATTTGACTTGTTACAATAAACACCTGTCACTTAAGAAATTAAAGGAACAAAAAAATAATTCAGGAAAGTAAACATGTAAGAGAAAAATAAAATGGCACTTCCTTGTGTGTCAGAAATGAACACATTATTGGGAGTTGGTTCTGCTTCTGAGTACCCAGCCAGGGTCTTTGGAAGCAGATCAGATGCTGATGTAATCTCGGCAAACTGGTGCTTTCACAGGCTTTGCAGTTAGCTGAAGTTATTCCCCAAAGCTTTGGCTCATTTGCACGTTTTTTATTACCTAGAATTCAATTATTTGAATGAGGCACTCTGATAAAGAATACAGAAACTCAGATGGACAATTTGTGCCAGTATTTCCAACATCACCAATAAGCCAGATTAAAGAAGACTGGCATATGTCACTCCATTTGCATACTCCATCATGTCTAGGATTGTTTCACGTGCAGGCAGGCAAATCATACAACTGCTTTTAGAATCCTATGCTAAAGAGGGCTTTTATAACCAGGTATAAGCAAACAATATCCATGAGACATTTTAAAGAAAGAAATAAAATTGATATTAGCCAAATTTAATTAATTTGCCTTAATCCATTCTTTTATTTTTTTATACCCTTGAAATTTGACATTTTTCTATGAACATTTTCATAGGTGTTATGATTTAAACATGAGATAAGGCCATTCAAACTGGAAGGATAAATTTTTCCCTATTTAGCAGTTTTAAAAAGGTTGAGCAACATTCTAGTCTCTTAGTTAAAAATTAGTTTGATCAGTAAACACACAGATTTCTATATTCTCATTCTAAGCCAATCTTTGTTAATTATATGAGGTTACATTTTTTAATTGAGCTATAGAATATTCTACTATGATTGAATTCACTTTTTTTAATGACATTGTGCAAAAGTTAAGTAACTATTTCCTGCACTACAAAAGTAAAAAGCAGAGAGGGTAATATGTTTCTTTTGCAAATATTCCATATTTTACTTTGTTTATTGTTTGCGTGGATGAATAATTTACCTAAGACTGTACAAAATAATTCAATACTATTTTAATCATGTTTGGACACAGGAACTGGAAGTTCAATAAACTCACATAAACACTAATAATATATAATTACTAGAGATAAGAACGTATTCATTAGGGAGGATAAATTATTTTCTTTCATTAGGAGTAACATTTACCTTCTTTTTGAGGCAACTAGCATCCTTCAGGAAACTAACCTTTGGGTTTCATATGACTTTTTCATCAATTTAATTTTGAGCAATATAACAATTCCAGACTGATAGTATAATTATTACAGATTAAATAACATTCTATATGTTTCTCCTTGGAAAATTCACATGATGTGCTGTTTATATATATGCAGGAACTTCAGAAACTCAATATGCTAGTTTTATTAGTTTCCCATTGCCAGAAAGCACCACAAATTTAGTGCTTTAAAAAAACACTAAGTTATTATCTTGCAGCTCTGTTGGTAAGAAGTCTGACATAAGTCTCAACTGAGCTAAAATCAAAGTGTTAGCATGGCTGTATTCCGTTCTAGAGGTACTAGGGGAGAATCCATTTCCTTTGTCTTTTCCAGTTTCTGGATGCTGACCAAAGCACTTGGCCCTCTTCCTTCATACTCCAAAACCAGCAAAATCAGACTGAGTCCTTCTCACATGATCACTGTGTCCTCCTCTCTTCCTCCCTCTTTCACTTTTAAAGAGCCTTGGGATTACATTGGACGCACCAAGTTTATCCAGGATCATTTCCCTACTTTAGGCTCTCTAATAGACAACCTTAATTCCATCTGCAACCATAACCCTCCACTGCCATGTAATATAATCACAAGTTACAGCGATTAGTATGTGAACATCTTGGGGACCATTATGCTGCCTACCATGCTAGCATTCAAGGTAGTCACACGCAGCACTTATACATTAATATGTTTGAAGTATTGTTGTAACTTCACTCATAGAGTGAGTTTCAGAAGCTACTTCACTTAGTTTATCTTAGAATATAAATATTCTGAGTGAAGCTTGGTTGATAAAGAACTAGCTAATCAAGCTGATTATAGTCTCTTAAGTTTAATAAACAGTGTGATTATAAAGTCATAAGGTGATTGTTGGTGGGGATGGAGTGTGTGTGTGTGTGTGTGTGTGTGTGTGTGTTGAAGCAGAGTGTGTCTTGGGATAGTTGTATGAAGGAATACTTTAATTCGTATGAACAATGCTGAAATAATCTTGCAATATAGTAATCTTGTATATTTGCTAAAATATCAGTTTCACAACTTAATCACCTCAGACCTTCTGCTGAAACTGTAGATTTATATCTCGGTTCCTAATGATTTACCTTGCACTTAAAAGTCTGGGCATAAATCACTAGGAAATGGCAAGGTAAAAACATATGGTCTTTTAATTGATATATTGGCTGGGGAAACTTCATATTTTGTCTACTCTTCTTTTACTATAATCATTTGTAGCATAAATTGAGGTTGACAGGAAACAACATTTTAAAAGAATTAGTACTAAATGAGAGTTTATGCTGCTACCTAGTCAGGTCTGAAAAAGCAATAATTATAGCATCCAATTTAGGTAAACCTAATAAATGTAATAGAAGATAAAAATACGTTGACTAATAAAATACATAGATGATTAAATGAGTACTTTGTGGCAATAGCTGTTTTTATGGCATCAAGAATGTTCCATTTGTTTCTAATAGCAGATTCACATTGATGTAATAAAAGCCATCTATGACAAACCCACAGCTAACATAATACTGAATGGGGAAAAGTTGAAAGCATTCCCTCTGAGAACTGCAACAAGACAAGGATGCCCACTCTCACCACTCCACTTCAACATAGTACTGGAAGTCCTAGCTAGAGCAATCAGACAAGAGAAAGAAATAAAGCATCGAAATTGGTAAAGAAGAAGTCAAACTGTCACTGTTTGCTGATGATATGATTGTTTACCTAGAAAACCTTAAAGACTACTCCAGAAAGCTCCTAGAACTGATAATATAATTCAGAAAAGTTCCAGATACAAAATTAATGTACACAAATCAGTAGTTCTTCTATACACCAACAGCGACCAAGCAGAGAATCAAATCAAGAACTCAACCCCTTTTACAACAGCAAAAAACAAAACAAAACTTAGGAATATACTTAACCAAGGAGGTGAAAGACCTCTACAAGGAGAACTATAAAACACTGCTGAGAGAAATCATAGATGACACAAACAAATGGACTCACCTTGAATATAGAATGATTTACATAAATACATACATCAGAAAAAGTAAGCAACCATAAAAATTTTTAAGATGTTTTTTTAATTAAGGAAATACACTCTTTATACCTAAAATAAAAATTCCACTAAATATATATTGAATATGTGTTCATATGTATTTGTGAGTTTCCATTTCCATAATTTAAATGTATTTCAAGACAGTGTCTTCCTTGAAGTCCATCTTCCCAGGCTTCAAGACAGTCACTCACCGGAGCTTCCTCCTCTCACTACAGCTACTCCTTAGTTGCCAGTTTCTCCCCATCTTTTGAACCCACAGGTGTTTGCTGCTCCAATTCCAGGCCGTTATGTTTTTAACATTTTCTCTCATATTCAGTCTCTTCACTTTAAGTGCAATCTAATATTGCATACAAATTTGTATTTTATACCCGCACCACAAAGCTCTCCCTGCAACGCTACAGTTGCGTATTCCATTGACTGCATTTTATCCCCACTTGGACATCTCAATCAATATATGTGCAAAACTCAGGTCTTTACTTCTACTGCCTCTCTCCTTCTCCTGCCCAACTTGATTCTCCTCAATTATTTCGCTTCTTAGGGAATATCAGTTGCAGCCCTCTTATTGTTTAGGATACAAATATCACAATTTATCCTTTCACATCACTTTCCCCCATCAGACTTATATCTTAAGCAGTATCACATCCTGCCAACTTTATTTTCATGATAAATACAGAATCAAACCTTTTCTCTCAATCTCCACTGCTGTCACTCTGCTGCAGACACCATCATCTCTCCCCAGAATTCTTGGGATAGATCTGTAACTGGCTCCCTGTTTCTGTTCTTGCTCCTCTTCAGTCTATCTGCAACAGAGTGACAAGAGTTTCTTGTTGAAATATAGATCAGATAATGTCACCTCTCTGCTCAGAATGATCAAATACCATCCATACTCTTGTAGGAAAAATCCAAAGTTCTTAAACAGATCTACAGGATCTACACATGATCGGGTTTCTATTATTTCTTAACATTATCACCTCCTGTATGCTATTTGTTAGTCCATTTTCTGCTGCTATAACAAAACACCACAGAAAGAATAATTTATAAAGAGCAGGCATTTATTTCCTCACAGTTCAGTTATGAAGGCTAAGAAGTCCAGGATTGAGGCACTGGCATCTGGTGAGGGCTTTCTTGCTGGGTCTTCATGTTGTGGCAAGAGGAAGTGAACCCACTCCCAAAAGCTCTCTTAATAAGGGCTGTAATTCACATCCTTATGACCTAAGCATTTTTCAAAAGATGCCACTTCTCAAAATTGTTGCATTGGAGGTAAAGTTTCCAAGACATGAATTTTGAGGGACACATTCAGATCATAACACTCCATTTCAATTATTTCACTCAGCTCTGCTGTTCTTGTTATGTGTCAGATAGCCAGGGGTGCTCCTTCCCTAGGGCTTTTGCACTTGCTTTTCACTCTCCCTGGAATATGGTTCCTGAGACAGCAACATGGTTCATATCCACACTTCCTCCCAGGCTTCCTAGCCAAATAGATAAAATATCAAACCACCATCTATCTCTTGACAATTTTTTTCTGCATCCCTTTTTCATTTTTTCTCTTTAACAATTTTCTACAAATACTACAAAATACTAATTATGCCCTTGTTTACCAGCTTTCTTCCCAAACAGATGGCAACCTCCATGAATGAATGAATACAAAATTTTAATTTACTATATAACAGGAAAAATATAATTTAATATGCAATTGGATTTTATTTTTGCTTTAAAAAATTTCTACAGGTAGAATTTTAGTTATCAAAATAGGAACTTTACTGATTGGTCTTTGGGAACTGGTTTATTTTATAATCTTAATCATACAACGCTTTCCCATCTATTGCTAAGCTAAATAGAACAAATGACTCAAAAAGTGGGTTCTCCATAACAAGAAAAATTCACTACAACCAAAATAGATTTTCATGGACACTATCATGGCTCATTCAAATTATATCACATTAGTAAAAACTACTAATGAGACATTAAAAAATAAATACAATATAAACAACACAGAAAAATCTAGAAAACTCACATTTTTCTCTCAAAATTTTTCTGAAAATTTTTTAAAAATTATAGCATACATAAAATTTAGTATCAAGCTTAGTAAATTATATTTAATTGCCATACATTTATCATTCTTTGATTCAAATTATTAAATTAATTTTAACTTATTAAAGAGTTTCTTCATTTTTGTGATATTTTTAATTATTTCCTAATTTATTCCCACAAGTTGTATATAAGGGAAACTACACTTTCCTATCTCTCACAATGGGTTGCAAATTGCTTTTTAAAATCGATATATTGATTTTCACTTCCACCAGGCAGGAGTAAATACAAGTAAAAGTTTTATCATAACTGTGTCAACATTGGTTTCAGAAATTCTTTTAAATATTATAATTCGAGGCCAGGCACCATGGCTCACACCTGTAATCCCAGCACTTTGGGAGGCCAAGGCGTGTGGATCACGAGGTCAGGAGATTATGACCATCCTGGCTAACATGGTGAAACCCCATCTCTACTAATAATACAAAAAATTAGCCGGGCTTGGTGGCAGGCACCTATAGTCCCAGATACTTGGGAGGCTGAGGCAGGAGAATCGCTTGAACCTGGGAGGTGGAGCTTGCAGTGCGCCACTGTCGTCCAGCCTGGGCGACAGAGCAAGACTCCATCTCGAAAAAAAAAAAAAAAAAGCCAAAATTAAAGACATAATGGAGAAATATCTGTAACTCATATCAAAAATATATATATGTATAATTTGATGGATTGAAATGGCACCCTATCTCATTTATATCACACTGGTAACTGTGGATCTAACCTAGATATTTTTATTTAAAATACTTTTAATATCAGGTAGACTGAAAATAATTGGATCAAATGAAATTATCAGTAATATCTAATTGTGCATAGTTACATATAAGTCATATGTAAGTCATCTGTATTAATCCTAAAGGCCTCAAAATAATGGCAATAAATACCTATTTGAGAATCCTTATGATCATCTAAACATAAAATGAAACAGAAATGATAGTTGAATTCCCTTTCAGTGGAGGCGTCTGCACATCTTCAATTTATTTTACCAACAATTCATCTATCATATTCCATGTGTTTTGAGTAAAATCTTGAATAAGACATAGTCCTGGCATTGAAGGACGTTGATTAAAGCAAATATTTCACTCAATATTTTTAGGGATCAAACTTTGTTCATTTTGTTCTCAGACCTACCAAGAAATTTCTAAATTTATGTGGCTCAACAATGTAGAAATTTATATATCAGAACTTTCTAGTATCCACAAAAGCAACATCTGAGCATGTCAGGGTGCACTAGGGCAAATGCTCCTCTTACACCTGCTCCTACATTTCCTCTCTACCTGCTAATTTTCCCAGAAATAGTTTCCTGGAACGTGTACCACACTTAGAAGTCAAAACACTACCAGCAGTGATAGAGGTTCTTAATTGTTTAACTTGTGTTGGCCTTCTCTTTGTCATTTAAAAAGATTGTAATAAGGGATTATTTAAATAAATAGTATATCTATGCAACCATATGCAATAATCAAAATGCATAATACTAAATATGGTAGGGACACCCACCAATTCAAAGTTCCTTGACTTAATGAGTGACCTGTAAACAAATGGATGTCTTCAACATTGAACTAAGCATCAGACCTATGCCTAATGGCACACTGGACTCATAAAAAAATCATGTATCCTCTCTACTATTCACATGGAAGACAAACATCCTACAAAATTAGTTACATATAATATTATGAAATTGTATTTATTTTATTTAAATATATATTTGTGCACATGGGTTTATGTGACTGTATGCCTCTCTATGTATATCACTATATCTTTCTAAAAATATATAATTTTAGTTGTATATATCCATATTAATCTATTCATTGAAAAATTATTTTTAAAATATACATCAAGCATTAATAATGGTTACTGTTTAAGAGTAAATCTCAAGTCACATTCTATGTTTTATATGTCTACATTTTTATAATAAATTTTAAATGTGGATAATATGAGGAAGGATGGAAATAAGAAAAAAATTGAGGTGTATTCATAATCTTAAATTACATATTTCAAATTTTAGATTTGAAAATATTAGAAATTTAGATGTTCACTTTCATCCATGAAAATAATATAGCAGAGAATATTAACCTTTCTTGTAGATGATTTTTAACCACGCTAGAATAACTGAAAGACTCAGCATGCTTAATCCATTTTAATCAGACAAATCATCAAAGACACTGAATCTATGATAATTTACCAACATTAGTGTAGACCTTTACAAATTGTAAGCCAGTATAAAACCTTGTATATTGGGTTTTTACACCTATTATCATCACCTTTTATGGATAAAGAAAATGGCCTACAGATCAGACACGCATGATGCGTTAATCCATGTCAGTATGCACCCTCTGCCATGTCTTCAAATCATTAAGCTCAGTTCTTTTCCATTGTGCTACACATCAGCACTTGTCTAAAACTGTACCTTTTAAATCAAACTGTTCTCATTTTACTTCTGGAGGCTTTAAACACTAGAAACTACTCCAAGCATATAGAATAACCAGAGTGAATGCTCCCTCCCTACAACCCACACATATACAAACTCCCAAAATATAATAGTAGAAGCAATTATAGAGAAGAACCAGTATCTTTATTTATTTATTATTTATATTAAAGGATCATCTGAAGAAAATTAAAGTGAAATTTGTCTTCAACCTCAACATTTATACTATCTCTCAGTTTTCATTTCCTTTTGTCCCAAAAATGTTAGCATATGATAATATAGCCCTCGTCTCTCAGTTTACTGGCAAGATCTTCCACAGTACTGTGTTAGGGATCTAGTAAAACACCTACCAATTGAAAACCATTCATTATCAAAGCAAAAGGAGGGGATTTATCTGTAGAGCATCCAAACTGGACTGGGCAGTTGCCTACTCAAACAGCATATGCATGAACTTTTTTCTATATACATCCTTTGGTTTGGCTTAGAGCAGTGGTTCCCACTGAGTGGTTCTCAAAATTGCATTGAGAACCACTGCTCAAAATTGCTCTAAGCAGTGGTTCTCAATGTAATTTTGCATCCTCCCCAGGGGATAGTTAACAATGTCTAACAATGTATAGAGAGATTTTTTTATTGACACAAGTTGGAGGTGCTACTACTGGGATCTAGTGGGTAGAGAATAGGTATGCTACTAAGGAGCCTACAATACACAGAAAAGTCCCCCAGGAGAATGATAGAGCTCACAATACCAACAGCACCAAGGTTAAGAAGGCCTAATCTAAAATGCAGTATTATAGATATGTATAATGCAAGTATAATGAAGTCATACAATTAAGCACATGAGGGCCTAAAGTTCTGTACTTAATTAAAAAAAAAAGAAAGACAAAGAACACCATATACATGCTTTGTCTTTAATGTCTCAATCTCTCTCATTCTTCACTAGACTTCACTGTGTCAGATATATGGATTCAAAAGAAGTAAGTTTTTCCTGGTCAATAAGTTCAATATGTTTTATCCTAGCTTGGTTGAAGTGTTACATGCATGTTTAGAGTCTGAAAGACAGTTAAGTCAGGTTGCAGATACTTAAGGTATACTTCTGTGCAATAAGTTAAATACAGAGCTGTTGGGACCCAAAAACTTGCAAACATGTGGTTTGTATTCATCAGACTGCAAAAATCAATGCAAAGCATAATAATGCTATTTATATCAGCCAATGGGACAAAAAGTACTTTATATTTATAGCAGCTTTCATCTAAATAATTTATAAAGTTGGAATAAATGACTCATATATTCTCACAAGTCCACTATATCTATTTGAAATCAGTCATTGAGAGGAATAATAATTTCCAGATTGCACAATGTATGGACTTCATTCTAGCACCGGGTGCTATTGCTCATACTTGTGACTGCTATAGCTAATTATAATCAGTCTGCACTGGATACAGTTACAGCTAGAGTTTCCTGCCACTCACTGTCCTTCTACTATTATATTCTCCTTTGCTATTGGGTTATCTTCAGCTGGGCATTTCTGTTGCATGTATAATAGCCAATGCTCATTTTCTACCTCCCATTGTTTTCAGAGAGGCAATCAATCTTGACCATTGGTATCAGTTCCTTTTTGTTTGTTTGGTTGGTTTTTTAAGTTGGCTATCTCTGAGAAAAAGCATCAGAAGTATAGTTCATAAAATACTCACCAAGGTGCACTAAGTGAATGTCTTCTAGGGGAAGTGCATCAGTTGACCTATACCAGGTCAATTTATTATTAAGATATCCAGAATTAAATAAACAACAGGAGGCTTGAGGGCAACTGCAATCATAATAGGTGATAGCACCAGAGTGTTACACAATGGAACTCATTATCTACGAGTATCACATCCTATCTTCTTCCTCCCACATCCCAACAAGGTATATGTAAGATCTAGGCTGGACCTCAAACTCCTGATTTAGAATTAAGCATTTTCTCTGGTAAGACAAATACACTAAAATAAAAAAGAACAATTATTGCAGGAGCAAAGTCCCCTGCTTTGAAAAATCTGTGGGTGATCCCAGAGTGAAAAATAAAGGTTTGAAAACACAGTCAGAGCCTGTAGTTAGTTTTTTTGGCTGCATAACAAAATCTTCCTCTGATCTGTCTCTCGGCTCAAAGCAGTGATGCCATCACCTGAGCAAACCGAAAACCATAATACTTTTAGCTAAGATTTTTATTTTATTTTTTCTTGACTTCCAACAGGAAAAAAGCAAGGAACATTTATTCTTGACTACAACATTAAATGCAATGAGACATTGAAATAAAAATATTTTAATAGCCCTAGCTAATAAAATTCTATTTTTTCACCTGTTACATATGAGAGGTTTGCCTAGAGCCACATCTGTACAGACAACACACACACACACACACACACACACACACACACACGCATAAGGCATAATTTACCTTGTTTTGCAGACATAAAAATCAAGACAAAATAATAGTTACTTCCACACTAAAACAAGAAGTTAAGAAAAAGAAATGAATGAGAGTTAACAAACATAAATAAAGTGTGTTGCTGATCACAGGAGCCTACCTAATTTCTTTTCATGCATCATTTATAAGTGCCCTTTAAAAGAAGCAAAAGTTTCATCTTAAGCTTTAATAAGCATTTAAGGCAGGGATTCGTGGGAAGAAAAAAAAAAAGAATGAAAGAATATAAATGAGGCTTGTCCTGCTGCAGTTTCAGTGCTCAGAAATCACGTAATTTTAGAGGATACTGGAAAGGCAATAATTAAAAAAAGCACTATCGAAAATTCAATTTCAGTGCCCCTGTTTCTATTCTGACCATGCGTCCCCTCACTTTTACAGATAGACATAAATGACAGCTTATACTGATGCCATCATTATTGCAATGTGCCTTGCAGAGTATTCTTCCAACTTCTTCAGGGAAGACAACAGCACAGGCACAGATAAACATAAACAGACACGCAGCTGGATTCTGAGACTCGCATTCGATAGGCTCTATGGCAGCATTCCTGCATAAGAAAATTCAAATGTATACCAGCGATAAGGCAGCCTGCATTAGCTACAACTTTCCCCTCAGCCCTCGATCCTGTGAAACCCATCGGAGATGAAGATTTCACCCAATATTGCTTTGACTCAGAACTGGGTAAAGCAGCCCCGCTGTACACAAAAATATTCATGTCACTAGAGAGTAAAGTGTCATTTATTGAAGCCTTACCTTGGCGGACTTGCCCTAACTGGTGGAAAGGAACTTAATTTATAAGAAGCAAAGAGAGGGGACTTTCCCAGAGCTCTGGGCACAGCTGCTCGCCGTCCTCGGAAAGCCCAGACTCAGGCTCCGCGCACCTCGAGCCCTGGGCTCCGAGGCTGGGTCTCTGCAGCTCCCGAGCGCGCCTCTGATTGGCTGGCGGCGCCTGTCTGCCTGATGCTGCGCTCTCCCGGTCTCTCCTCCTTCCTCTTCTCCCTGGCTCTCCTCTCCGCGGCTCCTTTCCCTTCTGCCTCCTTCTCCCCCCCAACCCCCCACCGTGCATACTTTTGGGGCTGCACAAATTCCACAGCAAGCAAAACGGACACCCTTTAACCCCCTCAGCAAGGTCATGTAGAAAACAATTCAGCGCATACTACTACTCCTAAATAAAATCCCTGATCCAACGGCATCATCTTGGGTACCAGATTTCTTGAAAAATGACGGCCAGGACTCCGTGACAGTTTAGACCATCAATTCTCTGCGGGGGAGGGGAAACTGGGGAGCGAGAGGGGTTTGACTGTCAGATGGAGTGGGAGTAGCCACCGGGAGGGACCCAGGAAATAAGGCAGGGCAGGCGCTGATGTGGCAAGCTGGTAATAAATTTTCATATTCCCGTGCAAAGTCGTCACAGCCTGCTAAACATTCAACTGCTGGCTCATTCATCAGTGATCCATAGTCCAGTGGTAGCCATGAGATTTCGCTTGAGTGATGTCCTTTAACGCCTTCACCCAAAGTACTCAAGGTATGGAGGGTTTATATCAGACAGAGCTTCCCCTTGGAGGTCAGCATTTATATTTGTGAAGACGAATAGAAGCTGTGATGCTTTTCCAACCCCCTTTGATTGTGCCAGGAAACCTACACACACACAAACTTCTCACCTCTTATCACTCCAGAATAAATTAAATCGATTTGCAATGTACATAGCTTTTGATAACAGGGATTTAAGGTCTGATGGGCTGCATTCAAAATTGATCTGGACAGCTGAAATAACTTTAGTACTTTCTCCCCGCACGAAGTCACCCACACTCACCCATTGAGCACATCAAGCATCCTTATTTAAAGTAAACAAGTGTAGGAGTTTATCTAAATTGAATGACTAGTCTAAGGGCCCCTTGGCAGATATAATAAGAATTGTACAAGACCCTCCATCATTGCAAACACTAAGAGAAAGATATTACTTTTTCTGCTTAGTTGATAAAACTACAAATGCCCAGGTTCAGAATGTTAAAGGAACAAGGACTTAAGACTAAGAGAGGTAGAGTGATAGGGTGTACAAGCTCTAAAGGCAAGAAGACGTGGATTCAAATCACGGCTGGGACATACCTTTACATGTGAACCTGTGTAAGCTTTTACCCTTCTCTGAGCCTCAGGAGGCCACTCTAAAACCTGGAAGGCAATCCTCACTTTAGCAGGTCTCTGTGAAGATTTAAAAAATCTGTATCCTTGTACAAACTTATGATAAACTTTTGTTAAAGGTTGTATAATTTCTAATTACTCCCCTCTTTTCTTCTTCCCTGAGAAAGATCAAAGAGGTTGAAAAGATAAGGTAAGTTGTATTTCTTGGAAGTTTCTTGGGTCTGAGAGTGAATGTTTGAATCGGCTAAAGTTATATTTGACTATTTTGCTTGAGTGATGTGAAATGTGGAAGGATTTAATTTGATTTAGCTTTCGGAAAGACTAAACAAACCAACAGGAGCAATGAGGTAGAACAGGAATTGAATTATTTCTAATTGGGAAGGAATTGCACATTTCAGTGTTCTGTTGCTCTTAAGGAAGATGTTAGAAGTCAATTAGAATTTGGAAATTTCCAAAATTTAAACTTTTAGAAAAAAGTGGAACGGAAACAGCAGCATCAAGATAATATGCCAGTATTATATTGCGCATTATATATTCTTTATTATGCAGCTACTGTTTTAAATGAGGGATTCTCCTTGTGTAGTGTCCAGACACAAATTCTTAATTTATTTTTGTTTATTGAAAGAGGTATGAGAGAATACATTTCCAATCTTTCTATGTTGATGAAGCCCTGAGTGCCCAAAGAAAGAAATAGCTATGAAAAATAAAAGGGATAGAAAAAGAAACTTTAAGTCTGTAAGAGGTCCTATAGTTTAATTGTTAAAATTCACGTTATGACATTCTCTAGAAAACCCTAACTCTGTTTATTTGACTGCCTCTAGTTGAATGAAATAAAATGTTTGTTTGCCAGCTTGCTACTGAAGCAGTGGCTGAGACACAAGCAATGAGCATCTTAGGGATACACTTCAAAACAAAACCTGTTTTTGCTGGCCTTCCTTGGTGGTTTTCCCTGGATAAGACTGTAATAAGTGCATCCAGTGGACAGTCATAATGGAAGTCAACAGGCACTTGCTCCTCAGTGCAACGACATGCAGAGGGAATTGTCAATACTGCCAACCAATACAATCCATTTCTAGAGAAAGAATTCATTCATCAAGGAAGGATTTGTATCTATGAAGCCACACTCTTGGAATAAGGGCTCTAGATTCTCCACAATCCCAATGATGCATACACACTGGGTTTAAATGGCTTCTGGAGTTTGACATTCTGAAACTGTGCCAATTTTCCCTAGCCATTGAAAAGTGGACTTGTCAGCCACTTAGTGCATCTCTTGTATTTTCAGCTCAAAACAAATAAAGAAACACAAAAGAAAAGAAGAAGAAGAAGAAGAAGAAGGAAACAAGTGAACCAATGTGGAATTTGCTGCTAGGGAAAGCCAGGTGGTAGGCAGGTGCTTGTTTTCTCTTTATGTCTAAGATTACTTCAAAAAAGTGGACAGTGTATCAATCACCAGAATTTATTACAGAACTAATCTCTGAAAGTGAAAGCATGGACATTTCTGATACTGAATTCCCACTTGGGTTACCTTGGGAGAGTTATTAGAATCATTTTAGCTGGAGACAGAGACACATCTAACACACGATTGATGCTGGTCAGACTATAGAAACTGGAAAGATAAAATTGTCATGCTAAACTATGATCATTTTCTGAGAGAGAGACTCAGAAAATTGTCTCTTTAGATGGCATCTCATGCTTAATTTTACCCTGAAAATTTAGCAAGTTATGTGATGTTTCCAAACCTGAATAAGGGAGCAATGTAAACAAAATTTAGAGAGAAAACTCTTGTTATAATTCAGTTTTTAGAGCGGTCAACTGCACAAACATGGTGCATTGGCTCATTAACAGCTTTATTGAGATATCATTGGCATAAAAATTATTATATATTTAAGGTATACAACTTGATATTTTGATATGCATATACAATGTGAAATGATCATCTTATAACTAATTAACATATCTATCACCTCTATGTAGTTACTATTTTTGTTTACAAGAATAATATCAAAATATGTGATCTGATTTTTATATAAAGAAAAAGAGCTAGTAAATTATAAAGCAATAGGAAATTTCTCTGCAACTATTTATTTTATGTGTTTGGTTAGCAAGAACTATAGTTTGTGTATTTTTGTTAAAAGAACAAAAGAGAAAACAAATTGATAAAAAAGTGATCTCTATACTATGAAAGATGATCTAATTTAGTTAACCTTTACTCATTCTGTCATCTCTCTTCAGTTTAAGAATTACAGAGTAGGACAGGTGCGGTGGCTCATGCCTGTAATCCCAGCACTTTGGGAGGCCGAGGAGGGCGGATCATGAGGTCAGGAGGTAGAGACCATCCTGGCTAACACAGTGAAACCCCATCTCTACTAACAATAAAAAAATAAAAAAATAAAAAAATTACCCTGGCGTGGTGGCGGGCGCCTGTAGTCCCAGCTACTCAGGAGGCTGAGGCAGGAGAATGGCGTGAACCCAGGAGGTGGAGGTTGCAATGAGCTGAGATTGCGCCACTGCACTCCAGCCTGGGAGACAGAGCGAGATTCCATCTCAAAAAAAAAAAAAAAAAAAAAGAATTGCAGAGTACTGGTAAAACATTAATGCATTAAAATGAAAGACATCTATCAAGAAGGTTTCAAAGATAACCGTATGTGCAATTAATTCTAAAAAGTAGCATATTCCTTACTCATAATAATAATTAGATCCATGTGTTCACTTTTTAGATTTTTCTTCAATGCATGTATAATATCAAAGAACCAATGAGCTTTTCTGGCTCTCATGTGGTAGTATGAATAATTGACAAAGCAAATGGTAAAACTCCTCAATTTCTATTACACACATATTTTATTTCTGTAAAACAGATAATTGTTGTACTACAAATGATGAAATGAGGACACTGAGTTCCAAAATAAGTGAAAATATAATAGATGATGAAGTCTAGCTTTAAGTATTAAAATAGAAAATATAAAGTATATGCCAGACTTAAAAAAAAAAAAAAACAACTGTGGGTAAACTGGGGATTTGTTGAGAATAAAGTAGTGCAGAAAGACTAGAGTTAAGCAAATATTTTCCTAACTTTCAAAATTTAAATGAATATGGATGCTATAAATTAGAAATTATTGAACTAAATGTGGAAAGTGGAAAAGGTATAAGATGACTTATTAAAGCGATGAACAGACTGCTAGAGGAGAAAACAGTGGGACCACCTGGGTTTGCATTACATTCACAAATAAGTCATTCCAGAAAAATGTCATTTCTTTCTATTCCGGACATGCAAGACTGGAAATAGAAAAAAAAAAGTATATGATTTCTACATCATCATCATCGTAGCCCTCATGATTTCGTTATAGCCCACATGGAGAATTTTAAGTACAATTTTTGGGTGTTGCTACTACAATTTTTGAGTGTTGGGTGTTTAAGTACAACTTTTGGGTGTTGCTACAATTTTTGGGTGTTGCTGTAGTAAGCAACTACCTAAGCATGTTTAAAAATGTCAAAAGTGCTTACTCAAGGAAGGTTTCCAATAGATAGCTGTAGAGCTCCAACTCCAAACCTGCCCTGAAACTGGCTTTTATCAATACCATTAACACCAAAATCATTCATGAAGAAATTGTCCCTTAACAGAGCCAGTATATTTGGATGAAGAACTACAAATTTCATAAAGGATCTTGAAAAACTTGGGTGACATCTCAAATATAATGAAGTAGAAATTCCATAGCTGTATCCCCAAGTATGAATGTATTAAATATATGGTAGTGGGGACAGACTTAGAACCAAAACCTGTGAATATGATTTAGATATTTCTACAGACAATAATTTCAGTAAAAATCAATTATATGACACAGTTATCAAAAGTGTAAATATAAATTTAGACATCCTTAATAATAGCAAAGCACCACAATGAATGTGGTGCTATTACTATCTCTGCACTATTAAAGATGAATTACAAAAATATTGAGAACTTATTTGGAATATTGTATTTTAAGATTATAGCTAATTCGTTTGGTTTTAATTAATGTATATTTTTGTTAGCCTCACCAGATTGCATTCATTCAGTTGACAAAGCTGATACCATCTCTAACTCCTCTATTTTCCTCACCACTTGAACTACACCTATTCCTTGCTTTTTCTGTAGCACACACATATACACACATATAGATATATACACATATATATAGAGATAAATAGATATTATACATAGATATACCTCTATATATCTTTTCTGTGTACACACACATATACACGCATATAGATAGACAAATATATAGATATCGATATATAGATAATAGATATATAGATATACCTCTCTATCTATCCTCTTAGTTCTGTTTCCCTGGAGAACCCTGACTGATACAATAGGTAATGTTATGGCCATTTTACTGATGAAGATATTCGGCTCATATATTTACGTAAATTTTCATGTTTGTTTAGTTCCAGATACTGTGCCCTTAATTATTATGCCACGCTTCCTCTAACTATAACACAAGTTGCTAAAATGGCATATTGGCAGACTATTAAAAGTATTTTTTAGCCTAAAAAATTAGAGACTAGTTAAACCTGTTGGAGAAAATGCTTTCTGAGAGGAGGTATTCTTTGAGCTGTATTCTTTGTTCTGAATCTTGAAAGAGGAATAAAGCAGAGGTGGCTACAGAAAAAGCAAGGAATGGGTATGGTTCAAGTGGTGACAAAACGGTATCAGCTTTGTCAACTGAATGAATGCAATCTGGTGGGGTGTATATCTATATGTGTGTATATGTGCATACATGTATATACACACACATATACACATATATACACATATATGTATACATATATACACATATATGTATACATATATACACATATATGTATACATATATACATATATTTATACACCTCTCTATCCCCTTAGTTCGATTTTTCTGGAGAATCCTGACTGATATAATAAGTAATGTTGTTAATAACTTTCTCTATCATTGAACATTAATGTCATCCCAAGTTTTTGATATAAACAATGCTTTAATGAACATCTCCGTTTATAAATTTTTCCTGGGTCTCTGACTATGGAACTTGAAAAGGCTACTGAAATTGAAACTACTCAGTAAAATATATGAATGTTTCTCAAAACTCATGATTACTTTATTGCTTCCCAACACCACTAGTGAGGAGTAAAAGATTAATTAGTTCCTCACTACCCTCTAGCAATAACATTTTTTGCTTTTCTCAGTCTACCAAGTCAAATGCTAACCTCTTCCAGTATATATATATATATATATATATATATATATATATATAGAGAGAGAGAGAGAGAGAGAGAGAGAGAGAGAGAGAGAGAGAGAGAGAGAGAGATGTACATGTGTGTCTCTGTGTGTATATATAAAGAGAATATATATATATATATATATATATATAGAGAGAGAGAGAGAGAGAGAGATGTAGAAAAAGATATATAGAGAAAAAGCTCATGCAATTACGGAGGCTAAGAGGTCCCATGATCTGCGCCTGCAAGCTGGAGGCCTAGGAAAGCTGCTGGTGTATTTCCAGTCCAAACGTGAAGGCTTGAGCACCAATGCTCAAGGACAGGAAAAGATATTCCAGCTCAAGCAGAAAGCAAATTTGTCCTTTCCTCTTCCTTTTTATTCTACTCAGGCACTCAATGGATTGGATGATGCACACCCACATTGACAAGGGTAGTCTACCATGGTTAATGCTAAGGTCTTCCAGAAATACCCTTGGACACACTTTGAAGTACTGTTTTACCAGCTATCTAAGCATCACTTAGCCCAGTCACATTGAAACATATAATAAACCATCACGCCTATTTCTAGGTTTCCTAGGAAAATTAAATATGCATAGAAAACTATCAGGCATATAGTAAAATGTATATAAACTTGTTTTTTTATCATTATATATTTGCATATCTGTTTCTTAATTGAATGCAAGCTACAAATGTGTATCTGGTACAATAAATGTCTTAATGCAGCTAGGTAAAATATACATAACTCAAGACTGGCATTGGAAGACATAGAGTCAAGCCATACGTTGACCACTCATATTAAATATAGAGTTGTTGAACCAGGTTGTTTTACTGTCTGAACATACTACCTCACTTTTAGACTAGGATACTACCCTCATCTGATAGAGCTGTTGCAAGCTTTAAAAAAAAAAAAAAAAAAAAACTTTAAGCATGCCAAAAGGTCTAGTATAGTCTTTGGCATAACAAAGACTTGGATAATGGCTAGCTAAATCCCAGTTGTAAGTGCTCAGTAAATGTGTACTACTATTATAAATCACATTTGCTTCCTGTGCTTCCCTTATAGCAGAAAGAGGCAAGTCACAAATAAACAAAATCTTACCTGGAAGCTTTTCATTAAAAGAGAAACTACACCTTCCATAGAATATCCTGGGGATAGTACTCACACAGTTCAACCTCCCATATCTGCATTTAACATTTTGGCGCTATGTAATGAAAATTGACATTTAGAAGATCCTGAGGCATTTTAAGATTCTTAACCACCAAAGAAATATATTGCACTCAGGACACAATATTTACAGTACCAGTAAAGAGGCAAATGTTCAAAATCATTTTAATGACTTTTGTTCACAAAAAAGGGTTATTTTATTAATATTCAATGAATCAGAACTTAAGGTTGACCAAATCATTGATCTTTTCAGAACGATATTCAATTTACCAATGTGCATTTATGCCCATTCACTAAAGTATAGTAATATATAGTAACTCAAAATTACTGTTTTCCTTAGGAACATCTTATGAGAGACTTTGAAAAATGATGCATATATTGTGCCTCTTAACATTTAATATATCAGATTTTTCTGTCACTAGAAGTTCTTATGCAATATTTTCAGTAAATTATCAGCATTATATTCTACAGTGTACATGTTTTGGATTTTCTCTATTACTGAATATTAATGTCGTTCCCAAGTTTTTGATATAAACAATGATTTAATGAACATCACAGTTTATAAATCTTTCCTGGGTCTTTGACTATGGCATTTGAAAAGATTACTGAAATTGAAACTACTAAGTAAAATATATGAATATTTCTTGAAACTCATGATTACTTTACTGGTTCCCAACACCATTAGTGAAGTGTAAAAGGTTAAATAGTTCCTCACTACCTTCTAACAATACCATTTTCTTCTATTTGCTTATTCAATAGTTGAAAATTAATACCTCATTGTTTTAATTTCTGTTCATGTGGTTACTAGAATGTTTATTGATCATTTTCTTGTCTTCCTTTCATAATTTCTGTTCATATCCATTTCTCTATCATGTTATTGCTAATTGGGAAATAAAATGGATTTAAATTGTCTTAATGCTCAGTCAGGGGATACACTAGAAAATTCTGAAATTTCTATTGTTTTTTCTTACACATTACCAAAACAATATGGGTCTCTGTGAACATAAATATATATACATACATACATGAATATATGTACACCTGACTAGATTTATTCAGAAAATACAAACAGAATATCAGCTAACAAAGCAATGATCTAGGTTTTGTAGAGGGATATAAAGAAGCTAAGAAACTAGAAAGAAGTTACTAAAATGAAATGCAATACCATAAATTCCATAAGCTATGTAAGGATAATGTCCCTTATATATTAAAAAATAATTACTTTCAATGAGTTGATAAAGCATTGTTGGGATAGGTAGAATTTGAGGTAGGTTTTAAATAATAAAGACACCTAAAATAGAAACTGATGA
This sequence comes from Homo sapiens, assembly GCF_000001405.40. Taxonomy (NCBI): domain Eukaryota; kingdom Metazoa; phylum Chordata; class Mammalia; order Primates; family Hominidae; genus Homo; species Homo sapiens. The sequence goes on from NC_000005.10 coordinate 19,997,177, forward strand.
ATGGAAAAACTTTTAAAACAAAATAAAATATTTTAAAAAGCAAGTATCTCTCTAGAGACCTATGCATCAGAATCTCCAAAGAATGTGGCCCTAGCTATTTAAATTTAAAAATAGTTCCACAGAATATTCTGGATGGCTGTACACTGTTATAGCACATATCATATTTATGATATGTTTTGATTGACTTTTATACTCTCTCTTAAGATCCCCAAAGCAGACTTACTATAGAACTCAGGCATTTCTGAGAAGATGAATAAAATGGAATACAACATTTACAAAATTCAACCTCCTTTTCTGGGCCATTGCCGGACAATCTCAAGCATTAATTACTCCTGTATCTAGGCTTCCAGTATCACTTTGTTTTCATTCATACCTAGGTACTCAGCAGAGAGTAACATAATGTGTCCATAATCATATCCTTATGCCGAGGTAAACTCTAAAGTCTTTGAGAACCAACAGAAAGTATACTTTAAAGTTTTCTATCCCAGCATTTGCTTCAACTGATTGCAGGTCAACCTAAGTGCAAGGTTTATGGACTGCAACAATGGTAAGCTATAGCCTATACCTCAAGAAGCTTATAATACAGTGGAGGATGCATAAATGTCAACATTTCACCATAATGCAATACTATCATAAAGGCACGCATAGGGTGTCATGAAAGTTTCTTAATTCATCTTGAGTAGGTAGAGAAAGTTTCCTAGAAGAGCTAAGTTGGACAATAAAGAGATATTACTCTAAAATGACAGGAAGAAGGCAGAGAGCATGACAGGGTGTTTAAAGATGTTCATAAAACCTTGTATACAAAAAGAAAGTCAGGTAGAAGCAGGCTGGAAACATGAAATGGAAAATCAGGGCAAAGTGACCATGCAGAAGTTATATTTGTGTTAGGGGCCTTGGACTACATTAAATTGGTGATTTAAACCAGGATAATGAAATGGTAATATTTGATTTCACAACTAGGTCTCTGCCCCGCTGGCAAAGTGGCCAAGCTTAGGGGAGTAAAATTCAATACATGGGGACCAGTTTAGAAGTTATCCAGAATAATCTAGAATGTTATTACGAGTTTATTGGCTACATAAGTTTTGTTAGAGAAACAAGTATGAAGACGGGCTAAACTATTTTAAAATAATAAAAAATTAAAATAGGATGACTTTGGTTATTGACTTTGGAAATGGATGGGTGTGATGAGCAAGGGACAATTCCAGGCTGTTCTCATTAATCTGGCTAGAGCATTTGTATCGTCAGGGAGGGCACTGTCAGAGGAGGACTAGTTTGAAGGAAGGAGATAATAAATTGATTTGAGGTCACATTGACTTTGATAGGACCATTAGATATCAACAAATTATTGTCCTGTTGGTTGTTTCATGCTAAGAGAACAATTCAGAGTTCAACATAAAATTTGAGGAGACATTTATATATAATTGTTCAATATCTGTTTTTCATGGATTTTTTTCAAGGATGGCAGAAAGAAGGACAGAACCCTAAACAGTATTAGTATTGTAGTGTGAGTTAAGGGGGAGAATCCTTTCAAGTGGAAAATAAGCAGTCATAGATGCAAGACAAAAAATACGAGTTTAGGGTCACAAAATTAATGAAATAGAGGAGGCTGCCAAGCTTAGATAAATGAATCATATTAACTTTGGTAGCATAAGAAGTGAACTCTCATGTTAAGTTTGGCTATTTGTAACACTGGAATTGGCAGTCAAGAAATTGGTGGCAAAAGAAGACAGCCTGGCAGTAAATGAAAAAAATACAGAACAAGGTGGAATTATTTTTCAATAAAGGAAGAAGAGAATCGTAAAATTGAAACAAAGCATCATGGAATTCAAGAAAGAAATGTTAAATTATTATTATCATTGTTTGAATGGAAGATAATTTACCTAGTTAAAGAGAAAGTTAACTATAAAAGATAATAAGGTGCTAAGGAAAAAGAGAAAAAGTAAAATATTAGATAAAGTCCCTGTAAACACAGGAGATTTAAGAAGATGCCAGACCTGTTTCTCATTTAGGGCTTTTCACGACATTGAAGGAACTATTATTTACACACACACACACACACACGCACACACACTTACCCCTTCTAAACACACACACATATACACATAACTCCTCCACAATTGCCCACATAAAACTGTGGACGCAACCGGGCAGGGTGACTCACGCCTATGATCCTAGCACTTTGGAAGGCCAAGGCGGGTGTATCACCTGAGATCAGGAGTTTGAGACCACCAGCCTGGCCAACATGGTGAAATTCTGTTTCTACTAAAAATACAAGATTAGCCGGGCATGGTGGCAGGTACCTATAATCCCAGCTACTCGGGAGGCTGAGGCAAGATAATCGCTTGAACCTGGCAGGCGGAGGTTGCAGTGAGTTGAGATTGCGCCATTGCGCTCCAGGCTGGGCAAAAAGAATGAAACTCTGTCTCAAAAATAATAATAATATTAGTAATAGTAATAATAATAATAATTCTGGACACTAGCCTCAATGTTTTTCTTACCACCAGGACTAGCTACATAATTGGGAGAATGAGAAAACAGTGCAAAATGAAAATGTCGGGATTGTTAAAAATTATTGGGAATTTCAGGATGACCACAGCAGAGCATTAATACCAAGCATGAGGCCAATTCTGAATACGGGGCTTTATGCAACTGCAGAGGTCACAGGCTCATGAAGCAGCCCTACTCGTCACTTCTACCAATCCAATGAATCAAGCTCCACTTATCTTGTTTTATCGATAATTCTCAAATTATGTATTAAGTTCCATCTCAAGTTCTTTCAGATTCATATAGTCCCCCAATTAAACTATCATCTCTTTTGTTAATTAGGTATGTAGGATGACTGTCACAGAACAGGAGTGCTGACCTTTCATATCATGGCAGTGAGACCAAACTATATGGTGAGGGGGTGGGAGGCAGTAGGAAAAGTGTTCCTAGTTTTTGTCCCTTACATAATAAGTTGTGGGAACAGATGAATTAGAATAAGAGCCCAATATAGGGATGGCGTTGGCCTAGTGGGGATACTGTCTACACAATCCAAGATTTTTAATAGATTACTAAACTATATTGACTGAATACACAATGGTTGATTAGCACTCTGATGGTTGTGTTATAAGATAAAAAAGCTGTAATTTATAGTTACAACCAAAAAGATATAATGAATGCCTTTAACTTAGTATAAGAATAAAAAAGGGAAAAGTAAACAAATTGGAGACATTTAGAGAAAGGATTACACATAACATAGTGGAGCTAAAAATAAGAGTTTTATAGCTTGATCCTGGAAGAAAAAAAGTGGCACTGTCAGTAGTAGAAAGTGAGAAGAAAGTTGTAAGATCTGGTTAGAAACATAATAGTTTTGGTTTGAAATATGCTGATGTTGAGGTGTTAGCCAAACATTTTGAAGAGATAGCCAAGAGTCAGTTGGCAATATTAGATTGTGGCTTGGGAAAATAGCTTTGACTGGGAGACAGAATTTTATGAGTCAGCCACAGATGATTATGTTGATAATAATAATAATGATATATGCTGTACAGCCCCTAATGGATGAGAGGAAAGTTTCTAGGGGATCAGTGATAGAACTAGCAAGATGATGAGAGAAAGAAAGAGCAGGTGAAATATGAGAATGGAAAGGAGAAAAATAGAGGAGAGAAAAGAAGGGAGAAGAAAAATGGCACTTTAAAGGAAAAGTCTGAAGAGCTGATCAGAAAACACTACAAGATATTTAGTTGATATGAATTTAAAAAGCCATTTTAGTAAAATGTAACTTTATATGACTAATTAGTAAACAGAAGTTTATTCACATTTGCAAAGGTTGGCAAAGTCAAAATGTGGCAACTCCAGGGTAAGGTTTGGTTACTGTGAAAAAATGATGTAACTAAAAATAGATCAAATTAACTTAGTATAGTAGAGATTTACATATTCTACAGCATGCAAAATTGTCAAATGAAGTCTCATAATTTCTTTTTATTTTAATGCATGGGAAGCTTGATCTTCATTTGAGAATGTGTGATTAGCTATGCTTTACCATTTCCTTGCTTATTCAATGTTGCTTTATAAAAGGACTGCCAAGTGGTAAGCATATATACTTATTCATGGAGAAAATTAAAGACTGTATTGAAAGCAAGCAGTTGAAATGTGAATTCTAGTACTTTCCCCTACTGAGTGTATAGGTGAATATGTGTTTGAGGGCATAAGAGGAAGAGTAGGTGTTATATAATAAATGCTATTTATATTACTACCTTGAAAAAAAAACTTGGAACATGACATAAAGTCTGATTATTTTTAACTCAGAAAAAAATGTATAGAGGCCATCAACCTCATAAAGAACAGAACAAGCTAAAAAGAGAACAGTGTCTCTGAAGCATTGTCCAGAAAGTGTGTCCAAAATAAATTCCATATTGCCAGGGTTAATTTGGGACTCTAGGAAGATTGGTTAGATAAAATGGGATTTCATTTTCATATCTCAGGATGCCTTATGTCATTATTCTTTTTCCTTTTTTTACTGCAAGTCAATTGCATGTAGTGTGCTGAAATAATTTCTCTGCGGGTCTCTTGCGTTGTATAAGCCCAGGCCTTTCGGTCACTGTAGGTAATTGAGAATTACACCACAGGCTTAGGTGAACAGTGAAAATCAGGTTTTAAATTCATTGTTCTGCTCAGCATTAGGCCCTCAGAGTGGCAAAATTAAAGTGTAGGTAGGGATAGGTTATTCCCGGAACTCTGCAGTCACATTGAGCATACACATAGGCCTCAAGTCATTTTCAAAGTGGCACTGTCATTGTCCTTCTCTGTCTATCTAAAGATTCCTCAGGCTGCCAATATTCATATATCAGGGTTGGCAGTTTTACACACAGTGTCCCTAACCATATGTTCTGCTCATTGTTACAAACTAGTCATTATTGACATTGATGGTTTCCTTATCACATTCCTCAAGCCAGAATTTTCCTTTCTAAAGTCCCCTAAATCTTTCCAGTACATTTCTACTATGTTTTGAATTTTACTTCACACATTAAAGGGATCCAATTGATAGAACTTTTCTATTGAAACATCATTGGCCCCATTTAATTAACCATTTCTGAATTCCCCCAGAACATTATTGCACATATGGTAGATACAGTTCTTATGCCATTCGTTTATTTTTAATGGAATTTGGAAACAAATCTTTAGACTTTGGATAGAGACTAACTTCAGTCAAATTTTAGCTTTGCCACTTATTTGGTTCATTGCCTTTAATAAGCACTGGCTCTCAGTTTGCACATCTTTTAATGGTATAATAGCACATTTCTGGAAGATAAGTTGTACTAATTACACATACTGCAGGCAATAACTTATGTAATTTACCTCTTAGAGTATGTGATGCATGTATATGCTCAGTAAATATAACAATAGACACAACCTCTCAGTTACCACTATGATTTTACCAAACTGTACATATATATAACATATTTCCAAATGTGACTAAGTTATAAGTGACCACAACAAGGATGAGAACACATTACAAAAGAAAAATAGGGAATGATTTGCGGAGATATCAATATGGTTCTTTTGTTAACATCTTGTGCTATTGAGATTACCTACTTCTCTGAAAAGCAAAAGGCAGGACTAAAGAAGGGATCTGCTGCCATCCACAATCTGTTCAGGGGAGATATAGATTTTTCTCTATTTCAGAGTTCCAGAGGACAAAAATCAGAGCCTAGAGATAAAGAGGATTGGTTTGCCGATCACGGAATCTGTAGAGCCAACAATGTGTATGTGAAACAGAGAAAAAGTCAAAAAGGAAACCAACCAAAAAAAAAAAAAAAGCAATTCACCTATTGGGTGTGTTTCCTGCTAAATTGTCACAGTTTACATGCAAATTAATTACGATGTGAACCTATTCAATCATTTTAGAACATTATCAGTGTTGCCTTTACCAATTTTAATGGATTTTGTCTGAAATCAGCTGGAACAAGTATACATTAGGATGTGAAAAGATAAGTGTGTATTAAAACCAGTTAGGAGAGTCAAGCAATGCTTTGGCCCAGTTTAGAAAGTTAAAAAGGCACAACAAACCCCACAAAGTTATTCAAATCTGCAAACTTTATTAAAATTGCAACATATATAAATATCAGTATGTGGCTGTGTTTGTGTGTGTGTGTGTGTGTATTTGTACATGTTGGAGGGTTGTGGGTAGAAGATTAAAATAGTCATTTTCTGTTACAGTTTTAAGTTGCTGGATGTCACACTACTCTCTAAATTGTTCTGTCTTCAGATTGTAAACACAGACTTCAAATGGGCAAATGTCTCTTCCTAGTAATTGTACTATATTTCCCATCTTTTTAAAAAAAATGTCCAAAATGAAAATTCTCAATTATTTGTCTCTTCCCTGTCCTACAACCTCCTTTTCTCCTCTACTAACAAATGATTTTATATCAATTTTATTTATAAAATAGACATAATAGGCCGGTCGCGGTGGCTCAAGCCTGTAATCCCAGCACTTTGGGAGGCCGAGGTGCGGATCACGAGGTCAGGAGATCGAGACCATCCTGGCTAATACGGTGAAACCCCGTCTCTACTAAAAACACACACACAAAAAATTAGCCGGGCGTGGTGGCGGGCGCCTGTAGTCCCAGCTACTCGGGAGGCTGAGGCAGGAGAATGGCGTGAGCCCGGAGGTGGAGCTTGCAGTGAGCCCAGATTGAGCCACTGCACTCCAGCCTGGTCGACAGAGCGAGACTCCGTCTCAAAAAACAAACAAACAAACAAAAACAAACAAACAAAAAACAAAAGACATAATAACAAAATAACTATTTTTTCTTGTCAGCAAATCTAGTAAACTACTTGCATCTAATATATCGTTTTTTGTATCATACTTTAGTTCATTCTCATGTTACAGTGATACGTGTGCTCTTATCTGAAGCCAACTACTTGCTGTTTGCTCGCAATCCAAACTTCTAGGGATTGTCCTTCATATCTCTCATTTAGTTTTCTAACTCATCAGCAAGGCCACGACATGGTCTGGATCTGGCTGGAATGATTTTTACTATTTTTACTGGTCCAAGCCACTTTCTTTTCTTACCAAGGCTCCAGCAACAGCGCCCCCCACCCGCAAGGGAACCTCCTGTTTTCTGCACAGCAAAGAGTATTACATCAAGGTGAAACCTTCACTATTTTAGCAACTGGGCATTGTCTCTGACCTGTCATCCTGTATTCCTCACATGAATGCTAAAGGAGGTCTAAATATCCAGCTCCTTCCATATACATAATTCTTGCATTCAGCCCTCCCTTTAAAGGGTGGGGTCGATTGGAGAGAACACTTCACCCAATTGCATGGCAAGCTATTGTCTTCACTCATTAATTAACTTCATTTTTCATAAATATGAATAGGCCACCAACGATTAGCCAACGTATGAGGAAACTTAAGCAGTAATGAAGATATCTAAGATGGAACAATTATTAACTTTGGAAATGAATAAATAAAACTCTGGGATAGAAAACATTTGTAAATTTAAAAGATGTCAAACCTTTATAAATAGTTCAATAGATGGGTTGGATTACAGAATGGCTGTACTACAGAACACATTGTTGATAAAGAAGAAAAGACTTAAAATGTGTGGCACTGAAGAAATCACTACAAAG